>NC_000012.12:116702552-116854067 GCF_000001405.40 Homo sapiens | reverse complement strand
CTGCACTTTCGTGTGCTTTGCTGGTATCTGGGGCCTTCAGAGGCTTCCCCTTGGAGCCTCTTAGGGGAGAGTCTGAAGTGCAGGAAGTCCCCCCATCAGCCCAGTGCCAAGTATCAATTGGTGTGTATTTTGTGGGATGGGACAAACTCTGAGATGAAACTTATGCTCCTGAGCTCCCTGGGGGATCCGGCTAAGACTGAGAGTTCGCCAGAGCTTGGCTTCTTTCCCTTCCCTGTTCTATTTCACTCATGATTCCCTTACTGGTTTCTCGTGGGAGCACTGCTGTAATAAATCACATGCACCTGAACAGGATCTGCTTTAGGAGAAACCAACATAAGACAACCACCCACTCCGCGAAGGGCTTCTTCTCCTTTGATCTAAGACAGTTGCACTTGGCTTCAAGAGGTGAAAGGAAAATCAAGACCACAAACACAAGTTGCACCAACAGATGGTATTTATTGGCTGAAGGGTACTTTGGGAGACATTAAAACACCAAAGGCAGCTGTTTGTCCTACAGCAGAAGTCCTAAAAGATTCCAGGACCCACTTTATTTACCTCTCTTTCTTCTAATCCCGAGTCTCAGCAGCCCGGATGTCTTCCTAACACTCTGCACATCATTCTTCTCTTCCGAAGCTGATGCACCTATCATATCTGTGTCCAAAGCTTGCCTTTCTTATTCCCTCACATTTATTATTCTCAAGATATTTTACATGAAGAGGTCCATTTCTAAGGACTTCGTGGAACTTGAGTCAGTGAATCATAAAATAATAAGGGCAGGATACTGTGAACCTGATACTCGATTAACCCTACTTACAACAAATGAGTTGCAGAACCAAGATACATAAAAGAGAGTGGCATTGTTCTTTTCCAACGGGGACTCCTGGCTGCTTTCGCACTGGTATAGGGGAATTCATGTAGCCTGTGTTGGAAACACTCCTCATCAGACACTGTTTTCCCTAGGACAGAAGTTAAATCCCCCCACCGAGAAGAAAACCTCAGATGGGACGTTCCCCCAGAGGGTAGGGCATGCACTAATAAAATCCTAAACTAAACCATCCCATCTGCCCCTGTGTGTCCCCCACATGTTACATTCTTTACAGTGTTAACAGGCATGGCTCACTCTTTGCAGTGTTAGAGAATTTTGTTTTATTGTTTTGGTGGCATGGGCATAATTGGAGAAACCATTGGGGTATTCACTAGTAACCTACATTGTTAGTTTCCTTGGTTCCAGCAGGTAATACACTGGGTTCCGTCACCCTGGAGATGGCTACAGGGAGGCTGAGTGACTTCCCAAAGTAATAAAGAGTTTGGAATCAGAATTCCAGGTCTGACTCCCAGCAGACTGTTCTATTTCCTTACACACCTGCACTTTCATCAATCTTCTCCAGCTCCAATTTCTTGTGCCCCTTCAACAGCATCTGCAGGCAGGATGATCTTTCCGATAAAAACCAGTTGCAGAAGTTCCTGTTGCTTCCCTTTGGTTTTTCCTCAGGGTAGGGAGAACAGAGCAGCTGCATTCACATGGCCCCATTTCCCTCTGCTTCCCCTTCCCACTTGATTATTCAGGCAAGTGGGATTGTAACATCATGGCCATCGCCATAGTAACGGAGCTTGAAAGATGCTACACTGCCCTGGAACAGACGTCTTGCTGGGTACCAGGAGAGAGCCAGGGATGCCAAGCCAAGGGGAAAGTCCTGGTTTGGTGGCACACAGGGGCAAATGTCCTGAATCTACGGCGGGGCAGGGGGAAGGGGACATGTTAATACTGGCTGACAGCGAGGTGGCTACAAAGCTCCTCCATTTCTCCTGGGGCTTGCATGGTAATCTGCCCACTAGCCACACAGATTGCTTTCTCTGTAATGCCATTGGCGCCAGCCTGTTGTGCTGAGGTTGACAATAAGAGAACAGACTTGGGAGGAGGAATAGGGCAGGCAAGATTCTGGTGGCTTCTGCGTGGTCACCTGTGCCATCTCATGCCAGATTTCAGAGCAGGGAACATTTCAGAGGTGGAGAAGTGGCTCTGTCATAGAGATCACAGAAGCACAGATGGTTACGGTGCTCCATGCCACTACCCTGGTTGGTGGAAACATCCATAACATAGGTTGTCCTGTTTGCTCTGAAGGCTACCAGAGGGGATGGCAATGTCCACAGGAGCTGCTGACAGGCCTGAGACTTAAGTGAGGGAGATGACAGAATAGGAAGAGGAGAAAGACATAAAGACAGGAGACCAAGGGGTAACCACATCTGGGCCAAAGCTGACCTTTCTTTCTTTCCTTCCTTCCTTCCTTCCTCCCTCCCTCCCTTCTTTCTTTCTTTTTTTTTTTAGACAGAGTCTCACTCACTCTGTCACCCAGGTTGGAGTGCTGTGGTGCAATCTCGGCTCACTGCAACTTTCACCTCCCGAGTTCAAGCAGTTCTCCCTGCCTTAGCCTCCTGAGTAGCTGGGATTACAGGCACCCGCCACCGCGCCCGGCTAATTTTTGTATTTTTTAGTAAAGAGGGGGTTTTGCCATGTTGGCCAGGCTAGTCTTGAACTCTTGACCTCAGGTGACCCGCCTGCTTCAGCCTCCCAAAATGCTGGCACTACAGGCATGGGCCACCACACCCGGCCTCTCGTGTGCTTTTAGAAGACCGTGTCTGCTGGGCCCCATGCCTGGAATGTCTGAGGGGCAGAGCAGTGCGGAGGTTAAGAGTGCGGGCTCTGCTGGGGATAGCGGAGTGTGCCTGTAGTTGCAGCTGCTTGGGAGGCTGAGGAGGGAGGATCACTTGAGCCCAGGAGTTTGAATCTAGCCTGGACAACCTGGATTTTTATTAGAAACCTCATCTCTAATAAATTTATTTTTTTTTAGATGTGGGTTCTGAAACTGTACCAGGCCTCTGTTGGAAACTTGGCCCGCCCATGCTGGCTGGGTGACCCTGGGAAAGTTACCGCACCAAGCTCTGTGCCCAAGTTTCCTCATCTATAAAACAGGGGACCCAACAGTACCTCCCCCATCACAGGGCTGTTGTGAGGATGACAGCACGTAATCCAAGCAGGATGCTGCATGCTTTGCCTGCTGCGCATGAAGTATTTGGGACCTTAAGTCATTACAGGTATATGGTGGGGCCCAACAACTGTATTTTGAAAATACTTTGGGCCAGGTGTGGTGGCTCATGCCTGTAATCCCAGCACTCTGGGAGGCTGAGGCAGGTGGATCACTTGAGGTCAGGAGTTTGAGGCCAGCCTGGCCAACGTGGTGAAACCCCATCTCTACTAAAAATACAAAAAAAAAATTAGCTGGGCATGGTGGCACGCATCTGTTGTCCCAACTACTCGGGAGGCTGAGGCAGGAGAATCACTTGAACCCGGGAGGCGGAGGTTGCAGTGAGCCAAGATCGTGCTATTGCACTCCAGCCTGGGCAACAGAGCAAGACTCTGTCTCACAACAACAAAAAAAAAAAAAAAAAGAAAAGAAAAGAAAAAATACTTCACAGGGCTCACAGGGATTCTAATCTGCAGGCCTGGGCTATCTGGGAGGCAGTGATCTCTAGGCTCCTCCCCAGCCTGCACCATCAAGTCCTAGGTACTAGGTACTAAGTTAAAATAACCAGCAGGTGGGCTGGGCACAGGGGCTCATACCTGTAATTCCAGCACTCAGCACTTTGCGAGGCCAGGACAGGAGGATTGCTTGAGCCCAGGAGTTTGAGAACACCCTGGACAACATAATAAGTCCTCGCCTCTACTAAAAATTAAAAAAAAAAAAAAATTAGCCAGGCCTGGTGGCACACACCTGTAGTCCCAGCTACTTGGGAGGCTGAGGCGGGAGGATGGCTTGGGCCCAGGAGTTCAAGGTTGCAGTGAGCTGTGATTGTGCCAACTGCACTCCAGCCTGGGTGAAGACCCAGACCCTGTCTCAAAAAAAAAAAAAAAAAAAAAAAAGTGAGCCTGGGCACGGTGGCTCATGCCTGTAATCCCAGCACTTCGTGAGGCTGAGGCGAGCTGATCATTTGAGGTCAAGAGTTGGAGACCAGCCTGGCCAACATGGCAAAACCCTGTCTCTACTAAAAAATACAAAAATTAGCCAAGTGTGTTGGTGGGTGCCTGTAATCCCAGCTACTCGGGAGGCTGAGGCAGGAGAATCGCTTGAACCCAGGAGGTGGAGGTTGCAGCGAGCCGAGATTGTGCCACTGCACTCCAGCCTGGGTGATAGAGCGAGACCTTGTTTTAAAAAAAAAAAAAAAAGGAAGGAAGGAAGGAAGGAGGGAGGGAGGGAAACAGAGAGAGAGAGAAAGAAAAGAAAAGAAAAAAGAAAGAGAAAATAACCAACAAGTGGGAACTTCATGTATTGCCAGGTCCTTGACTTGGAGTGGAGAAGGAAGATGCATCTAGAAGGGCATCAAGTCTGAGTTAGGAAGACGTCCCCTTTTGCAGGGGAAGGAGGCACGCACTATACCACAGAACGAGAGAGGAAGATGAAGGTCAGAAGGACAAGACAGGGGCGGGACTTTGGGGTCAGAGGTGGTGGAGGGCAAGAGGCAGGATGTAAGTGCTTGAGGCCTGTTTCTCAGGAAGCCCCCGCAGGGCTGGGTCCGGGCATGCTGACCCTTGGCGTCCTTCTGGGTGTCCTCAGTGTTCGGTCCTAGTACACCTGGAAGTGTGCGGACGTGGCGCCGTCCTTCCAGCAGCGCAGGGTGTCCACGGCGACCGAGCGGCAGAGCGGGCAGGTGCGCTCACGGTCCAGCCACAGGCAGAGGCACTCCTCACAGAACACGTGCTGCGGGGACAGCAATCAGCAGGCACCAGGACTCTTTACTGAGCGTCTGCCTCGGTCTCGGGAGCAGGAGAAGGGGCAGCGGACTAGACAGACAACCCCTGCCTTCGGGGCGCCTGCACTCGCGTTGGGGAGACAATGCGACTCCAAAATACTGAGTTATCAGTAGGAAGCACCAAGATGAAACAGCAGGGGAGGGGACAGGTGTGGTGGCTCAGGACTGTAATCCCAGCACTTTGGGAGGCCGAGATGGGCGGATCACCTGAGGCAGGAGTTTGAGACCACCCTGGCCAACATGGTGAAAACCAGTCTCTACTAAAAAATACAAAAATTAGCCGGGCGTGGTGGTGGGCGCCTGTAGTCCCAGCTACTCGGGAGGCTGAGGCAAGAGAATCGTTTGAACCCGGAGGCAGAGGTTGCAGTGAGCTGAGTTTGTGCCACTGCACTCCAGCCTAGGTGACAGAGCAAGAATCTGTCTAAAAACAAAAAAACAAAAAACAAACAAACAAAAAGCAGGAGGGAGAAGGAACAGGGAGGGCTTGGGCGGGTTGGGACGTTAAGGACAACTTTACGGAGATACTGACATTTGGGTAAAACTTGCAGGACAGTGAGGAGTGAGCCCTGATGAGATCTTGGGGAAAAGCACTTCTAGCAGCAACAGCAATGTGCAAAGGCCCTGAGGCTGGACTGTGTTTGATGTGCGGGAGGAACAGGAAGGAGAGGATAGCTGGGCTGGGGTTGTTGGGGTGGATGGGAGAGGGAGATGAGGTCACAGAAGTGATGGAGGGTGAGGGGTGCATATGGTGTAGGTACTTGTGGGCCATTGTGAGGTCTTTGGCTCTTATTCTGAGAGAAGTAAGGGGCCCATGGTAGGGCTTGGAGCAGAGGAGTGACCTGATATGATTTGCAGTTTAAAGCGATCCCTCCGCCTTCTAGGTTGAGAATAGAACACAAGGGTCAAGAGGAAAGGCAGGTAACTAGTGCTACGATAAACAGATACATGCACGCATACGTTCACTGCAGCACTATTCACAATAGCAAAGACATGGAATCAACCCAAATGCTTATCAATGATAGACTGGATAGAGAAAATGTGGTACATATACACCATGGAATACTATGCAGCCATAAAAAGGAACGAGATCATGTCCTTTGCAGGGACATGGGT
The DNA here is from genome assembly GCF_000001405.40 of Homo sapiens. Classification (NCBI taxonomy): domain Eukaryota; kingdom Metazoa; phylum Chordata; class Mammalia; order Primates; family Hominidae; genus Homo; species Homo sapiens. The sequence goes on along the minus strand of NC_000012.12, from coordinate 116,848,148 downwards.
GGAGCTGGAAGCCATTATCCTCAGCAAACTAACACAGGAACAGAAAACCAAACACCACATGTTCTCACTCATAAATCAGAGCTGAACAATGAGAACACATGGATACAGGGAGGGGAACAACATACTGGGGCCTGTTGCGGGGGCTGGGGGAGGGAGAACATCAGGATAAATTGCTAATGCATGTGGGGCTTAATACCTAGGTGATGGGTTGATAGGTGCAGCAAACCACCATGGCACACGTTTACCTATGTAACAAACCTGTATATCCTGCACATGCATCCTGGAACTTAAAATTAAATTAAATTTTTTAAAAAAGAGAGAGGGCCAGGCGCGGTGGCTCACACCTGTAATCCCAGCAGTTTGGGAGGCTGAGGTGGGCGGATCACCCGAGGTCAGGAGTTTGAGACCAGCCTGACCAACATGGAGAAACCCCATCTCTACTAAAAATACAAAATTAGCCAGGCGTGGTGGTACATGCCTGTAATCCCAGCTACTCGGGAAGCTGAGGCAGGAGAATCACTTGAACCCTGGAGGCAGAGGTTGCGGTGAGCTGAGATCGTGCCATTGTGTTCCAGCCTGGGCAACGAGAGCAAAACTCTGCCTCAAAAAAAAAAAAGAGAGAGAGAGAGAAAGGCAGGGAGATTGGAAAGACCAATGGGTTCCACCGTTCTCTGGCTGTATAACTTGGACAAGTAATGCAACCTGTCTGTGCCTCAGTTCCCCCATCTGTAAAATGGGGATAGAACCCCCTCATTGGAAGATTAATTAACATGTTAAAAGTACTTAGCTATGACAACCAAATGCAGCACATGAGTCTTGATTGGTCCCAGGGGTGGCAAAAAAAATGCCAGCTATAAAGGGCACTTTGAAGGCAACTGGAGACATCTGAATATGTACCATATATTAAATAATATGTCACATTAATTTAAAATTTCCTGGGTGGCCAGGCACAGTGGCTTACACCTGTAATGCTAGCACTTTGGTAGGCTGAGGCGGGGGGATCACTGAGGTCAGGAGTTTCAGACCAGCCTGGCCAACATGGTGAAATCCCGTCTCTACTAAAAATACAAAAATTAGCCAGGCATGGTGGCACACGCCTATAGTCCCAGCTACTTGGAAGGCTAAGGCAGGAGAATCGTTTGAACCCAGGGGGCAGAGGTTGCAGTGAGCCAAGATCGCGCCACTGCACTCCAGCCTGGGCAACAGAGTGAGCTAGATTCCATCTCAAAAAAAAAAAAAAAAAAAAATCCTGGGCATGCTAGTGGAATTGTGATTATCTGAGAGTATGTCCTTGTTCCTGGGAGATGCACACTGAAGTATTTAGGGATGAAGAATCTAAATGTCTACCACTTACTCTTAACTGGTTTAGGGAAAAAAAAATTGATGTCAAAAAAAGGGCAAATGTAAAATGTTAATGATCAGTAAATCTGGATGAAGAATAGAAGAGTTTCATGCAACTTTCCTGCAGGTTTGAAATTTTTCAAAATGAAACATTTGAGGAAATAATAATAAAAAAATCTAAACAAAATGTTTTTTTAAAAGCAAAACCACAAAAAAGAAACTGGGCACAGTGGCTCATGCCTATAACCCCAGCACTTTGGGAGGCGAAGGCAGGAGGATGGCTCGAGGCCAGGAGTTTGAGACCAGCCTGGGCAACATGGCGAGACTTCCTCCACCCCCATGCCCCATATGTCTCTACAAAAAAAAAAAATTAGCTGGGCATGGTGGCATGTGCCGTCCCAGCTACTTGGGAGGCTGAAGTGGTGGGAGGATTGCTTGAGCCCAGGAGGTTGAGGCTGTATGAGCTATGATCATGCCACTTCACTCCAGCCTGGGAGACAGAGTGAGACCTTGTCTAAAAAAATAACAATAATATAAAAAAGAAGGCACTTGGAATAATGACTGGCAAATAGTAAGTGCTCTATAACTATTAGCTATTATGATAGTAATAATGATTATTATCTTATGTGTTTACAGTTTATTATCTGTCTCTCCATACCAGGCTGTAAGCTTCTTGTAAACCCCTTCATTCCTAGCATGGTGTACAGTGGGTGCCTAATTGTAGACAGTGCTCTGAAGGAGATTTCCATGGTATTATGGAGGTGTGTGACAGAGGGACCAGTTTGATCCAAGGGGTAGTCAAGGAAGGTTTCCTGGAGGTGGGGACACTTGAGTCGAAGCCTGAAGAACATTTGGCAGTTAACTGGGCAGAAGAGAGGGGATGGGATAGAGATAGAACATTCCAGGCTGAAGGAAGTCTCCTGTGCAAAGCTCCTGAGATAGGAAGATGTTTGAGGCACTTGAAGATAGCTGATGTGGCTGTAGTTGGGGGTGCAGGGGAGAGAGGGATTGGGGAAAGGAGAGAAGTCCACACAGAGCCGCGAAGACCATACTGGATTCTCATCATGGTCTGGAGGGCAGGACCCAGGGGTCAGCAAGCCCTGCAGCTTCTACAGATTCCCACTATGGCACCCATTACCCTCTATGATGGCCCGTCTCCCGTCCAGCCCCATCCTCACACCCTGGAGTAACTGATGTCATTGACGTGCCACATGACCTTCAACCCATGGCTTATTCACAGCCTTCCAACCAACTTTAGTATCACTCTGGGATGCCCTTTCTCCATCTTGACCAGCTGGGTGCATGCCCAGTTCTTTTGGAAGACTCAGCCAAGCAATCATGTCTCCCCTGTTTTATGATGTTGCCCCGATTCCATCCTGTTACTGTCTCCTGCAAATGTAAGTACTGATCGCGTCTTCTCTCCTATGCCATTCTTCCTGGTGAAAACCCCTCTCAAAGCATTGCATGAGGAATTATTTGCAAATTCATCTGATTGTTCACTAGATTAAGAGCTCTCTCTCTCTCTCTCTCTCTATATATATATATATATTTTTTTTTTTTTTTTGAAACCGGGTCTTGCTCTGTCATCCAGGCTTGAGTGCAGTGGTGCGATCACAGCTCACAGCAGCCTTGATCTCCTGGGCTTGAGTGACCCTCCTGCTTCAATCTCCCAAGTAGCTACAACTATAGGCACGTGCCACCATGCCTGGCTAATTTTTTAATTTTTTTGTGGAAATGGAGTCTCACTTTGTTGCCCAGGCTGGTCTCAAACTCCTGGCTTCATGTGATCCTCCCACCTTGGCCTCTCAAAGTGCTGGGATTATAGGTGTGAGCCACCATGCCCAGCCACTGGATTGAGAGCTTTCTGAGGGCAGAACCTGGTTTTATGCTGAGTACGGTTCTTGCTCAGATGCTCAGTAAATATCTATTGACCAACCAAATGGGACTTAACTATGCTACCCTGGACAAAAGAGGTACTTACATAGGAGAATGCAACACAACCCCTGTTCACATAGACTTGGTTAAGTGAATGGGAAATAGCCATGAAATTTAGCAGTTTTTTCACTCATTCATTCAACACATTCACTGAGGCTCTCACACTTCTAATTTAATAGTTCTCAGATATTCTGGTGCTAAGACCCCTTTATATTTTTTAAAAACACTGAAGACCTCAAAGAGCTTTTGTCTATGTGGTTTAAATTTGTCTATATTTACAAATTTAGAAATATTAGAAATATTTAGAAATAGAAACGGAGACATATTTAAAACATAATGGCCAGGCACGGTAGCTCACGCCTGTAATCCCAACACTTTGGGAGGCCAAGGTGGGCAGATCACGAGGTCAGGAGTTGAAGACCAGCCTGGCCAACATGGCGAAAGCCTGTCTCCACTAAAAATACACAAATCAGCTGGGCATGGTGGCGTGTGCCTGTAATCCCAGCTACTCGGGAGGCTGAGGCAGGAGAATTGCTTGAACCGTGACCTGGGAGGTGGAGGTTGCAGTGAGCTAAGATCGTGCCACTACATTCCAGCCTGGGCTACAGGGTGAGACTCTGTCTGAAAAACAAAATGAAACAAAACAAAAAAAAAACCCATAATACACAAGCACATATTCATGAGCCACCAGAGTGATGACCTCCTCGCAGGCGATGCAGCCTCTGGAAAACTCCACTGTATACTCATGAAAGAACCAGAGTGAAAAGGCCAATAATGTCTTAGTATTATTATATAAATGGTTTTGACCTCACAGACCCCCTGAAAGGAACCCCCAGGGGTACCCTGGCCACACTTTGGGAACCACTGTTCTAAATGCTTAGTCAACATCTGCCCTGCCCTCTAGGTGGTAAACGCCATGAGGGCAGCCATGTTGTTATCGTACTCCTACTGTCCAGCCCTGAGCTGGTACAGAGTAGGGGCTCTGTCAATGGAGAGGACAAATGAATGGGAATGCAGATGACAAATGACCAAACAGGAAAGTCTGGCGATACTAGGGTGATGAAGGACTGGTCCCTGCCCTCCGGGAGCTCACAATCCCTTCCTCAGAGAAATGGGAGGACAGAATCTGGTGTCAAATGAAAAGGTTCAAAAAACCAGGTTTACCCCAGGGCCCAGCTGAGGAGTTCACGGCTGTGGACTGCCTCCAGCATGTGGAGAAAGGGATGAACGTCTACAGAGGAAGGGGGAGGAAGAAGGAGCCCTTTCTCAGCTGGGAAGGATAGGATCGGGTGGATTGATGGGCAGTGGGGAAGGCAGGTGGCCCTGGATTGTTTTTTTGTTTGTTTGTTTCTTGGGGTTTTTTTTTTTTTTTTTTTTTTTGAGACACAGTCACACTCTATCACCTGGGCTGGAGTGCAGTGGTGTGATTAAGGCTCACTGCAGCCTCGACCTTTTGGGGCTCGAGTGATCCTCCCACCTCAGCCTCCTGAGTAGCTCGACTACAGGCAGGCACCATGGCACCCAGCTAATTTTTGTATTTTTTGTAGAGTTGGGGTCTTGCTATGTTGGCCAGGCTGGTCTCAAACTCCTGGGCTCAAGGGATCCAATCGCCTCAGCCTCCCAAAATGCTGGGATTACAGGTGCAAGCCACTGTGCCCAGCTGGCCTTGGATTGTTAACTGCCCCCTGGTCGTGCCTCCCGAAGCACAGAATTGGGGTTAAACCAGTCACCTCACCCTCACCCCAAATTCTATCCAGGTCTTGCCCAAAGATCCAGAGCAGGCAGGTGGGGCTTGGGACAAGAGCCTACAATCACAAGAGCCAGCCCCAATGTGAGAGAAGAGGCTTTGAGTGGGAGAGGGGCATTTCTGGACCTAGCACTTGGTGTTCAGCGTGAGCCGAGAAAGCAGGAAGCAGCCAGGCCTGGGTCCAGGTGGATGAATGCAGGTGAGGAGGAGAACAGGCAGTTATGAGCCACTACCCCTTATAAAGTATAAACACGCCGGGCACAGTGGCTCACACCTGTAATTCCAAAACTTTGGGAAGCCAAGGTGGGTGGATCACTTGAGGCCAGGAGTTTGTGACTAGCCTGGCTAACATGGCGAAACCCCGTCCCTACTAAAAATGCAAAAATTAGCTGGGCATGGTGGTGGGTGCCTGTAATCCAAGCTATTCGGGAGGCTGAGGCAGGAGAATCGCTTGAACTCGGGAGGCAGAGGTTGCAGTGAGCCAAGACCATGCCACTGCACTCTAGCCTGGGTGACAGAGGGAGACTCTGTCTCAAACAAACAAACAAACAAACAAATAAATAAATAAAATAAAGTAGGAACATGATACCAGGCCCTGCCAATGTTCTTTATGTGCATAATTGCACCCCAGTCTCATAACAGCAAACAGACAGGTCAGTGAGACTCAAGAGAGGGGGAGCTGTGCGCCCAAGGTACACAGCTGCTAAGTGGCAGGGTTGGAATCCAACCTCGGGCATGTGAGAGGCAGATTTCCATTATGGCCCCCAGTATCCCCTTCTCCTGGTGTTCATAGCCTCATGCATCCCCTTCCCTTAAGTAAGGGTGGCGCCTAGTGACCTGCTTCCAACAAGGAGGATACAGTGAAGGTGATGGGGTGTCCCTTCTGGGATTAGGTTACAAAAGACTGTGACTTCCAGAACTCAGGGTATCTACTGGCCACAAGAGCCAGTGAGGAACTGAGGCCTCCAATTTCACAGCCCATTAGGAACGGAATCCTACCAGCAACCACACGGCGGAGCTTGGATGCAGCTCCTCCCCAAGTTGAGCCAGGAGAGGACCACAGCCCTGGTAATACCTTGACTGCAGCCTGTAAGAGGCCCTGTGGCAGAGGACACAGCTAAGTTGTACCTGGATCCTCCCTCTCTCTCTCTCTCTCTCTCTCTCTCTATATATATATTTATATATATATTTATATATATATATTTTTATATATATATTTATATATATATATTTTTATATATATTTATATATATATTTATATATATATTTTTATATATATTTATATATATATTTATATATATATATTTTTATATATATATTTATATATATATTTATATATATATATTTATATATATATATTTATATTTATATATTTTTTGAGACAGAATCTTGCTCTGTCACCCAGGCTAGAGTGCAGTGGCATGACCTTGGCTCACTGGAACCTCTGCCTCCCAGGTTCCAGTGACTCTCCTGCCCTAGACTCCCGAGTAGCTGGGACTACAGGTGTGTGCCACCATGCCAGGCTAATTTTTGTATTTTTAGTAGAGACCGGGCTTCACCATGTTGGCCAGGCTGGTCTCGAACTCCTGACCTCAGGTGATCCGCCTGCCTCACCCTCCCAAAGTGCTGGGATTACAGGTGTGAGCCACCATGCCCAGTCATTTTATTTTTTTGAGACAGGGTCTCCCTCTGTCACCCAGGCTATGGTGTAGTGGTGCAATCTCGGCTCACTGCAGCCTCCGCCTCTTGGGCTCAGGCAATCCTCTCACCTCAGCATTCTGAGTAGCTGGGACCACAGGCGTGCACCACCACACTTGGCTAATTTTTGTATTTTTTGTAGAGATGGGGGTCTCGCTATGTTGCTTAGGCTGGTCTTGAACTTCTGGCCTCAAGCAATCTGCCCACCTTGGCCTCCCAAAGTGTTGGGATTATAGGCATGAGCTACCATGCCTGGCCTGTGCCTGGATTCTTGACCCGTAAAAACTGTGAGATAATAAACATTTGTTGCTTTAAGCTGCTGAGTTTTGGGGTAACTTGTTATACAGCAATTGATAACTGATACTAAAAGCATCTGACTTTGTAGTGAAAACCCTTACTCATTATAGGGAATCTGGGAAAGGATGTTTGAAGCATTTAATTACGAAAAATGACATTACTGAAAATGTGGCTACTACCAGACAGGACACACACACACACACACACAGACACATACCCCTAACCTCAGATCCTCTTTAATCACACAAACCAGGCCAGCCAAGTCCAGACTTAGAATTAAACACTAATACTGAATATCGGTATAATACACTATGATTTTCAAAACCCATATACAGCCCTATACATCATCTCATATGACTCTTAAAAAAGTCCTACAAGCTGCCCAGCAGCTTGTCAATCTTGGGTGACAGATGACATGGAGGGTCAGGGTCACAATGAAATGCATTGCTCAGGGTTACAGAGTTAGTGCCTAGGATATTGTTGGTGCTCAATAAGCCCTCAAAGCATAGATGACTGGATGGAGGAGTCAGAGGTAGGTGTCAAGAACTCTGATTCCAGCTTAGCCATTCATTCATTCCGAGGAGGCAACGTGCACAGGCCTGGCTGGACACAGCAGAGACTATTCCCAGGAATTTCTGGAAAAAGTGCTCTGATCTTGTAATGCAGCCCTGGGGGCATCTCAAAGCCTGAGACCAAGCCTTGTGGAATGGGCATGGCCAATGGCATCAGAGGCTCTGGATTTGAATCCTGGTTCTGTGACTGAGGAACAACGGGACCTCAGGCAAGTCCATCCCTTTGTTTTTCTGAGCCTGATTCTTTGTCTCTATTAAATAGGGTAACTACTTCCCGCCCGAAGTGTCTGTGAAGATGGGGACAGATAAGGTCAAGTATGAAGAACTTGTAAGCACGAAATCAACAGGAGTCACCATTCTCTTGCCCTCTTGCCTTCATATCATAAAACATGCAAAAAACCAAACTCATAGTGACCAAGAATTGGAGGACAGTTCATTCTCTAAATGCACTCTTACTCTTCTCTTTGGCAAAGGATTTCTTTAAATGAACCAAGCTTCTCACTTTGTGTTCAAAATGCCCTTTCCCTGGCTCCCTGTAGCCTGTCAGAGGGCACACCATAAATACTTGCAGAGTGCCTAACTGGGCAAGTGTGCTCCTGAGCAGAGTGTTCTAACCTCAGGACATGCTCAGTGTCTGCCCAACCAGCTTCAATTAACAATCTGCTTCCTGAGCCCTAGCTCAGGGGGTAGTGGGTGGAGTGGGAGTGACATATTGAGCTTAAAGGGGAGACAAGGTGTGGCTTTAGCCTAGTGGGCCCCTCCGCCCCTCCCTCCCTCCCTCCCTTCCTTCCTTCCTTCCACCTATCCATTCACCCACCCACCCATCTATATACCCACCCATCTGTCCATTCATTTGCTCACCCACACTGTCACTCACCCACTTATACCTCTATCTACCCACCTTTACACTCACCCATCCACTCCTCCACTTGGACACCATTCCATCCATCCGTCCATCTGTCCATCCATCCTATTTACCCACTCATCTGTCCATCCATTTGCCCATCCATACAGTCACTCACCCCCTTATACCTCTGTCCACCTACCGTTCACTCACCCACCAACTTCTCCACCTGTCCATCATTCACTTCCATTCATCCATCCATCCATCCATCCATCCATCCATCCATCCACCCACCCACCCATCCCATCCATCCATCCATCCATCCACCCACCCAACCATCCTATTAATCTAAACATTCCATCCAACCATCCCATCCATCCTTCCTTCTGTCCATCCATCCCTCCATCCATCCATCCATCCAATATTTACTGAGACAGTACTGTGGCTCTGCTGCTAAACAAGACAGACATGGTATCTGCTCTCATGTTGCTTGTGATTCACCAGGAGGCAGACAGACCTTGCCCATCTAATTACCAAATGAACTACCTAGTTAACAATTGGAATAAGTGCTAAGTAGGAAAAACACAGGCATCTATGAGACCATATAGCCAGGGACGTGACTAGTCTGGAGAAGCAGAGTCAGGAAAGACTTTATGGAGGAAGCAACATCGCAACCAAGTCATTCATTCATTTGTTCATTCATTCAATGCTTTTAGGAATCAGCATGACCCATTTACCTATGTGAATCATCTCTGCCTTTCCAGGCCTAGCTCACAGCAACAGAGCAAGACTAAAATGTGTGCCTGGCCTGGTCATATGTACAGTCTTCAACCAGCACTGGGTACAGCTGTTACTCCTAGATCTGGGACAATGGGTGTCTTGTCTGACTCCTCCCAAGAATTTCTAATCCAGTTGCACATAGTGGTATCAGGAGAAGAATGGAGGAGAGACAAACAGACTGAGGCTTAGAGAGCTTGTCAGACTTTCACCTTGACATCATGTTCAAATTGTCCCTGCTACCAAGAAGGAACTACAGATGGCTCTGAAGCATATGAAAAGATGCTCAACCACGCTCATAATTAGGGAAATGCAAATTAAAACTGCACTGAGATACCGTTTGTCACCTGTCAGATTGGCAAAGCTCAAAAGAGGCTTGGTAACGCTGTGTGTTGGTGAGGGAAGAAGCAAGCGGCTGTGTCATACTGCATACTAACAGCCTAAGTGGATACATTCTTTACAGAGGGCAGTTTAGCAATAACTGTCAAAACTGTGTGCCTTCTGACCCAGTAATTCTTCCACTAGAAATTTATCCTACCAAGAGCTCATGTGTGTGTGAAATGGGATGCATGCCCATAAGAGCTAATATTTATTGAACCCTGACCACGTGCCAGGAGCAGTTCTAAATGCTTCCCTTGAATTAACCTTTAATCAACACGATGGGCCCAGGTTGGTGCAATTGATCTCCCCATTCTGGATCATTCATGACAGCCTTATTTGTAATAACAAAAGATTATCAGCTACTAAATGCCTATCAATAGAAGAATGGTTAAACAAACTGGTCTATTCATAAAATGGCACATTATGCAGCTATAAAATAGGATAAGGAGCAATCTCTAAGATAGAGTTTTAAGTTAAAAAGGAAGGTGCAGAAAACAGCATAGGTAGAATGTACTATAACTTATGTTTTTTTTTAAAAAAATATGTTTGTGTGTGTATAAATATATACACACATATACATACATATGGTGACAGGCCTCCTTTTTATATCTTTCAAAGATTTTTTTTAAAGTAAACTTTTTATTTTGGAATAATTTAAGGCTTACAGAAAAGTTGCAAAGATAGAACAGAAAATCCCAGTACACCCCTCACTGGGTTTCAGTTTCCCCTAATGTCATCATCTTGCATTACCGTGGTACATTTGTCAAAGCTAAGAAACCCACGTTGATATGTTACTATTAACTCAACTCCAGACTCTATTTGGATTTCATCAAACCTGTTTTCTACTAATGTCCCTTCTCTGTTCTGGGATCCAACCCAGGTCCCAGACTGTGTTTAGTCATCATGTCTCTTTAGTCTTCTTTTTGAATGTTGATTCATGCAAATATATTATCCATTTAAAAAGAAATACAATTGAACATGAAAAACAACCTCCCCCTTCCAAATCTCCAAACAGCAATAACAACAGCAACAAAAATGCTTGTCGATGTTAAAAAGGAACCCACCTTCTATCCCCCTACCCGTAAGCCTTTCCATGCCTTTTAGTCTCCAGGCTATGCCTCCTCCAAAAACCCTTCCCAACCTGGAACTCATCGCTCTCTGCCTCAGTCCCCCGAGACACTGCATGAATCTCTCTTACACGGCACTTATCACTGCCTGCCTTGCTTCACAGTTATTTATGTAAGTGTCTGTCTCCCGGCAGAGACTGTGAGCTTCCAGAGGAGGGGACGGGATCTGTGGGCCCTCTGCCTCTCCTTCCTGGGTCAGATAGGATGCTTTGACCCCAATACACATTTGCTGAATTGACACCTAGTCCCTGATGTCAGGAGGAGGAGGAGGGATGCATTTAGGGATTTAAAAGGAACCGGCCAGCACTTACGACTGTGGGCTGGTGACCCACGACTAATAAAAACAAATGGTAATAATAATTATACAGATGACAATGATAATTCTAGCAACTTCTATGGTTGAATAATTGAAATTTAGTTCTTTCCATGGATGATCTACTTTAATCATAATAATAGCCCTATGAAGTAGCTGTTATTATTATGTCCTTTTTTTTTTCTTTGAGATGTAGTCTTGCTCTGTTGCCCAGGCTGGAGTGCAGTGGCATGACCTCGGCTCACTGCAACCTCTGCCTCCCGCGTTCAAGCAATTCTCCTGCCTCAGCTTCCAGAGTAGCTGGGACTAGAGGTGTGTGCCACCATGCCTGGCTAATTTTTGTATTTTTTTTTTAGTAGAGACAGGGTTTCACCATGTTGGCCCAGCTGGTCTCGAACTCCTGACCTCAGGTGATCTGCCTGCCTCGGCCTTCCAAAATGCTGGGATTACAGGTGTGAGCCACTGTGCCTGGCCACTATTATGTCCATTTTAGACATGAGAAAAACCAAGGCTCAGAGAGAGAGTGACTGACCCACAGGGGGTCAAGAATGCTGCTGAAATTCACATGCAGGATATTTTGATGTTACACCATACGGAATTTGGCATTCTACATCTTACTAAGGAAACCAAGCCTCAGAGAGGTGAAATAACGTGCCCAAGTCCACCCAGCTACTAAGAGGCAGAGGTGAGATTGGAACCCAGGTCTGGCTGACTCCGGTCTTAACCGGATTGCCCCCCAGAGACCCATGCCAGAGACCCGAGGACTGCCCATGGGGAAGGGTCCTACTCTCCCCCAGCCTTGGTCTCCAATGGTCCCGCCTGAGCCCTGCTCACCTGGCACAGGAGAATCAGAGGCTCTCGGAACTCGGCCTGACAGATGGCGCAGATGTCACCAGCTTCTGTGCACTGCTGCCCGGTGGCTCGGACTCCATAGTTCTTTGAGGGAGGGGAGAAGCAAATACAGCTATGGGCGCCCTTGGGAACTACGCCCTCAGGAGCACTGTGAGATCTGTGGGCTGAGGAAGGGGTCGCTGCTGTTTCCAGTTCCTGATTCTCAGGACCCTGGTGGGGACCACCTGAAGCCAACTCACCTGAGAGGTACAGAGAAGCTTCAGGGCTTTCCTAACTCCGCCCACACGTCCACAGATGTCGAAGGACTGAAAGGAGAGCAGGGTGGTGGCTGAAATGTACCCAAGGATCACTCGTGACCCCTGCACAATCACCCCACCCCATCCTCTGACCCTCCACCCATTTTTGACTCAGAACATTTTTAGGGCTCCTCTTCTCATTTGCACTTCTTCCTTCCCAACAGTGTTGCATGGCTTTTGTCTTGTTGCCTAATATCAAGAGTTTCCCCTGCTACCTAGGCCAGAATAGCAAATATATGGCATGCATAGTGCCTATTTCCCTTCCCAAGCCCACAGCAGGCATTGATAATCGATCACAGCACTCTTCCTCTGAGCCCAGCCCACCCTGATAACCCTTCTCCATCTAGCACTCCAGTCAGCCACTGTGTTGATCAGAACCAGCAAGTAATCAGTATGCCCCAATGGCTGATACTACATGGATTGCCTTGCCAGTCCTGCTGGAAGGAAGGAAAGAGAAGAACTCATGCATCCTCCCAGGATTCTCTAAAGCCAGAAATGGAGAACCAAAGAGAAAGAGAAGGATGTATGGATTTTTAGAGGGTAAAAAAACCTCTGATTTGTACTAATGATGAAAAGAAAAGCACTACATACTAATTTGAGGAGTTGAGGGTGTGCAATTTAACACGGATACTATTTTTGAGGTAAGAGAGATAGAAAACATTCAGTAGAAGTGTGGTTGGGAGCTTATGGCTTTAGAGGCAGCCTGCCTGGGTTCAATGCTTATTCTGTTGTCTTTACCTGAGTGACCTTGGGCAAGTAACCTCAGTTTCTAACCTCCCTGAACCTCAGTTTCTTAACCTGTAAAATGGGAATAATGGGGGCCAGGTGGGGTGGCTCATGCCTGTAATCCCAGCACTTTGGGAGGCTGAGGCAGGTGGATCACTTGAGGTCAGGAGTTTGAGACCAGCCTGGCCAACATGGTAAAACACCATCTCTACTAAAAATACAAAAATTAGCCAGGTATAGTGGTGAATGCCTGTAATCCCAGCTACTAGAGAGGCTGAGACATGAGAATCGCTTGAACCCGGGAGGCGGAGGTTGCAATGAGCCAAGATTGCACCACTCCACTCCAGCCTGGGCAACAGAGCGAGACTCGGTCTAAAAAAAAAAAAAAAAAAGGAGTAATAATAGTATGTACCTTGAAGGGTTTGTGAAGATGACTATTGGAAAGAATATCATATGGTGAGCTTCATAGGTGAGAAATTAGGGTAGATTAAACCATAAAAAATACTGATACATGTTACAATGTGGATGAACCTCAAAAATACAATGTTAAATGAAAGTGCCAGACACAAAAGGGCACCTATTACATGATTCCATTTATATGAAACATTCATAATAAGTATATTCATAGAGACAGAAAAAGCAGATTTGTGGTTGCCAAGGACTGGGGGAAGGGGAGGTTGGAAGAATGGGGAGTGACTGCTTAATGGGTATTTCTTTTCAGGGTGATGAAAATGTCTTGGAACTAGACAGAGGTGGTGGTGGTTGTGTGACATTGTGAATCCGCTCAATGCCATTTAATTATACACTTTAAAATAGTTACTGGAGGCCGGGCGTGGTGGCTCATGCCTGTAATCCCAGCACTTTGGGAGGCAGAGGTGGGCAGATCACTTGAGGTCAGGAGTTCAAAACCAGCCTGGCCAACATGGTGAAACCCTGTCTCTACTAAATATACAAAAAATTAGCTGGGTATAGTGGTGGATGCCTGTAGTCCCAGCTATTCTGGAGGCTGAGGCAAGAGAGTCACTTGAACCCAGGAGTGGAGGTTGCAGTGAGCCGAGACTGCGCTACCGAACTCCAGCCTGGGAGACAGAGTGAGACTCTATCTCAAAAATAAATAAATAAAATAAAATAAAAATAAAACAGTTAGTGGTTAATTTCATGTCGTATGAATTTTCCCTCAATTAAAATAAATAAATAAATAAATCAGCATGGGTATTCTAGGTTGCCCAGGAGCCCCCTGAGGCCTGACTAGTGAATGGGGCCCTCCTTAGGCCGGCCCTCCAGCCTTGGGGCCACCTCACCTTGCAGAGGCTGTAGAGAACGATCAGGACCCCGCCCAGGAAGTAGCTGTTGGAGGAGTCGTCACCCATGATGTATTTGTACCACAGCTGGATGGGGACAAGGGATCGGAACAGCTGGCTCAGCTCCTCGATGACCAGATAGAACTTTCCCTGCAACCACACAGAGAACATCAATTATTATTAGCAGTAAAGACCCAAAGGACCCAGCTGGGGGGCCCCCCGCCCCGGGCAGTGATGACATTCTAGGTCACAGGCAGGCCATTAATCAGCTCTGGAAAGCACTCAGGCCAGCTCCTAATGGGGCTGCGATATGGCCAGGGAGACGCGGCCCCTGCCCACTGCCCTCACCCGCCACCCAGCAGCCCAGAAGACCAAAGTGCCCAGGATTGAGGATCGAGTTTCAGGGTAGGAGAAACCCTACACCTTTGGGCAGAGGGCTGGAGAGTGGGTCACCCTCTGGGTCTCGCTGTGGCTTGGAAGGCTCAAAGCCCAAGGTGGGGGCACAGTCCCTGCCCTCCGCATCCAGGCCATCCTCATCTTTAGAGGGCTGACTCGAGCATCACAGGCGACTGCTCTCAGGGGCCTGGGCAGGATGGGCACAGAATGCAGGTAAGGCCAGGCAATAAGGCCCAAAGCGGGGAGATACGTGTCCTTCCTAGCTCCACCACCTGCTCTCTTCCAAGGAGGCAGGATGAATACCTAGTTGTGTTGAGAAAGAACAGGGGCCGGGTGTGGTGGCTCATGCCTGTAATCCCAGCACTTTGGGAGGCCCAGGCAGGTGGATCACTTAAGGTCAGGAGTTCAAGACCAGCCTGGCCAACATGGCGAACCCCCAACTCTACTAAAAATACAAAAATTAGCTGAGCGTGGTGGCGCACCTGTAATCCCAGCTACTCGGAGGCTACTCAAGCGAGGCAGGAGAATTGCTTGAACTTGGGAGGCAGAGTTGCAGTTAGCCAAGATATCACACCACTGTACCACTGTATTTCAGCCTGGGCAACAGAGCAAGACTCCATCTCAAAAAAAAAAAAAAAAAAAAAAAAGAACACGACTTGGGTACTCACACTGGGCTGGGATTGAACCTGACCTTGCTGGATGTTCATGACCCTTAGTTTCCCCATCTACAGAATGGGAATCAGAATTCCCACCTTACGGGGTTGCTTTGAGGATTAAAGGAGATGAACAGGATAAGCACCTAGCATTATTCCTGGAGAAAAATCCTATTTCTCTTCCTCCCCTTGACCTTGGACAAGTCCCTGAAGCTTTCTGTGGCCTGTGTTGTAAAATGGAGATGAAAATACACCCACTCTGTAGTGTCTAATAAAGTTGAATACATACCTACTTTATGACCCAGAAATTCCAGTCTGAGCTATTTACCCGAGAGAAATGAAAACATATGTCCACATGTATGCCAATGTCCTTAGTGGCTTTATTCATAAAATCCCCAAACTGGAAGCAGCCCAGACGCCCATCAATGGAAGAACGGATAAACAAATGATGGCGTATTTATACAACAGGATACTGTCCAGCAATAAGTATACATGAATGCCTGAGATTCGCGATGACATGGGTGAATGTCACAAACATTATGTCGAATCAAAGAAGACAGTCATGGAAGAATATTTGTTGTATAATTCTGGTTTATACTAAGTCCTAGAATAGGTAACACTAATCTGAGATAATAGAAATCAGATCCCTGGTCGTCTGGGGTGAGAGGTGGGGAGAACTGACTGCAAGGAGGTGTCAGGAAATTTTGGAAAGGGATAGAAAGATATATATATATATATATATATTTTTTTTTTTTTTTTTTTGAGACAAGGTCTTGCTATGTTGCCCAGGCTGGAGTGCAGTTGTGCGACTATGGCTCACTGCAGCCTCGACTTCCCAGGTTCAAGCAATCCTTCCACCTCAGCCTCCCAAGTAAATGGGATCACGGGTACACACCACCACGCCTGGCTAATTTTTTTGTATTTTTAGTAGAGACAGGATTTCACCATGTTGCCCAGGCTGGTCTCAAACTCCTGGGCTCAAGCAATCTGCCCCTTGTCAGCCTCCTGAAGTGTTGGAATTACTGGTGTGAGCTGCTGCACCTGGCCTAGAAATATGAAATATTTTATATCTTGATTGGGATGGGGGATACATGGGTGCGCACGTTTGCCAAAACTCATTGAAATATACACTCCTAACATGTGCAGTTTACTGTATTTAAATCCTGCTTCTATAAAGCTGATAAAATCAAACAAACAACACTGCCCCAAGCATCCATATCTGTAAAAATATGTATAATCTTTACTCTAACAATTCTATGTCTGGCAATTTACCCTAACAAAATAATCAGAGATAGGTGCAAAGATGTGCCTATAGGAATGGTCACTACAGCATTCTTTGTAATACTAAAAAAAAAAAAGTAAAAAACACAATGTACAAAAAAGAGGGTCTGATTATGTTAGAGATCTATAATGGAAAGCCATACAGCCATTAAAAATGTACCCTGAAGAAATAGCAACTTTATGGTGAAGAAAGGAAACATACATCATATTAATCAGGTGATCAAGGTTAACATCCCCAGTGAGAAGTCATTTTGACATCCTGAACCCTCTGACATGATGTCCTGAAAAGACACAGTATCACTTCTGTGGTATTCTCACCAAAACTCAGCAATAAATTCTAATCTAATCATGAGAAAACAAGAGACATATCCAAGTTGAAGGATATTATCTCTCTCTCTCTCTTTTTTTTTTTTGTAGAGAGACGAGGTCATGCTGTGTTGTCCAGGCTGGTCTCAAACTCCTGGGCTCAAGGGATCCTCCTACCTCAGGCTCCCAAAGTGCTGGGATTATAGGCATGAGCCATTGCACCTGGCCCCAAGTTGAAGGGGCCCAACACTCTTCAAAAATGTCAAGATCATGAAAGACAAAGGGAAGACCAAGGAGTGTGAGGTTGGAGAGAATTAAGGAGACGTGACAAATAATGTAACATGGGATCTTGGTTTCAATCCTATACTCTCTTTCTCTCTCTCTCTTTTTTTTTTTTTGAGACGGAGTCTTGCTCTTTCACCCAGGCAGGGTGGAGTGCAGTGGCACAATCTCAGCTCGCTGCAACCTCTGCCTCTTGGGTTCAAGCAATTCTCCTGTCTCAGGCTCTCAAGTAACTGGGATTACACACCACCATGCCCGGCTAATTTTTGTATTTTTAGTAGAGATGGGGTTTCACCATGTTGGCCAGGCTGGTCTCATATTCCTGACCACAGGTGATCCACCTACTTCACTTCAGCCTCCCAAAGTGCTAAAATTACAGGTGTGAGCGACCGCGCCCAGCCCTGATTCAATCCTATACTAGCAAAAAATGTCAATAGGCCAGGTGCAATGGCTGACACCTGTACTCCCAACACTTTGGGAGGCTAAGGTGGGAGGATCCCTTGAGCCCAGGAGTTCAAGACCAGCCTGGGCAATAGAGCAAGATCTTGTGTCTACAAAAAATTAAAAGATTATCTGGGAGTGGTGGTGAGTTCCTGTGGTCCCAGCTACTTGAGAGGCTGAGGTGGGAGAATTGCTTGAGCCCAGAAGTTCGAGGCTGCAGTGAGCTATGATTGTGCCACTGCACTCCAGCCTGGGTGACAGAGTAAGACCCTGTCTCGAAAACAAAAAAACAACAATAAAAATTGAAAAACAAAATAATGTCAATGGGGCAACTGGCAAAATGTGAATGAGGTCTTTAGGTTAGTAGTAACAGTATTGATGTTCATTTCCTGCCCTTGCTAATTGGACTCTGGTATATCAGATATCAACATTAGGGGAAGAGGAATGAAGGGTATATGGGAACTCGCAGCATTACTTTTGCAACTTTTCTTTAAGTCTAAAATTATCTCAAAATTAAAAGTTAAAAAAGAAATCATCCTGATGAAAGATATCATTTGACCCAAGCAAATGCTCATATTATTGTTCCAAATGGAAATAATAGAGAATGCAAAAAAAAAAAATCCTCATTCTCTTTGTGTTTTTATGCTCTCTCCAGATTTTTTATACTGAGCATGTGATATGTTTAAATTAGAGGGGAAATGAGTCTGGGCATGGTGGCTCACACCTGTAATCCCAGCACTTTGGGAGGCCAAGGTGGACAGATCTCTTGAGGCCAGGAGTTCAAGACCAGCCTGGCCAACATGGTGAAACCCTGTCTCTACCAAAAATACAAAAAAATAGCCGGGTATGGTGGCACGTGCCTATAATCCCAGCTACATGAGAATCACTTGAACCCAGGAGGTGGAGGTTGAAGTGAGCCAAGATTACATCGTATGCGTGGCATGTGGACAGAGATTTATAGCCAACTTTTATATTCCATCTTGATGGGCTGGGCACATGTCACTCAGAAGAGGATTCCTTGGAGCACGTACACCCACATCTACCAAGGACCAAGAAAGGGCATCCAATCATCACTCACCCCCTGCCTGATTTTTGTGACTAGTTCGCCACCTCCAGTTGTGAGGCCATTGTTTCCCAAAGGGCCCTCCTTTCCCCTCCTGACTCCCACCAGTCCCTGAGCCCCAGAAACATCCCCTGGAGGGAAATGCTGGTTTCCCTCTGGAACTTTTGGGAAGATGGGGGGTGACTGGAGTACAGAGATGTAGGGGGTGGCCGTCATGTTTGTTTTACATGGACAAGGGCATGATGGATGCTGGACCAATGGACAGCAACTTAGTGTATGGCCAGGGCTAACCAAGCCTGTCCATATCCTGCTGCAGACCCCAAGATCTGCAGAATATCCATGATTTGAACTTTCATTCCCTGAACCACCCACCCTCAGCTGCCCCATGCCTCCCTCATGTCTCCCAAATTGCTCTCACCCATGGTCTCTCAACTCTTGCATATTCCATCTTACCCTGGACTAAACTGTCCAACCTCTCTCAACTGCGAGTCTTGACCTGCAGTTTTTTTTTTTTCCACTTAAAACATTGTGTGTTTTAGAGATGGGGTCTATCTATGTTGCCCAGGCTGGTCTCCATCTCTTGGGCTCAAGTGATCCTCCTGCCAGCTTGGCTTCCTGAGTCCCCTGTAGGGACTACAGATGTGAGCCACCATGCCTGGCCTTAACCTGCTTTTGTCACTCTTCCCTACATTCAGTGCACCCCTAGATCACTCTTGTTTCCTTCCTTCCTTACCTTTCTTTCTTCCACCCATCTGTATTTCCTTTCTTCCTTCCCTCCCTTCCTGCCTTTTATCCATTGATGCTGCCTTCCTTCCCTTTCCTCTGCCCCTCCCTCCCTCTCTTCCTTGCCCACTCCCTTTCTTCTTCCCTCCCATCCTTGCTTCCATTTCTGGACACCTACTATGCACCAGACACAATGCCAGGTTCTGGAGGTACTAAGATAACTAAGACCTCATCCCTTCATCAGGAAGCTTGCTACCCAATGAGGAAGACCATCACTAAGCAAACTACTATAATACAGTGTGGTAGAACTCTGCTAGAGGTGAATGTGAGTGGGCCCCAGAATTGAGGCATGGGATGTGGAGGGGAAACTGATCAACAAAGTCTAAGAGAAGTTATCTTTCCAGCCACCCAAAGTGTGAGCCATGAACCAGCACCATCAGCATCGCCTGGGAGCTGGTTAGAAATGCAGGCTCTTAGGCCTCACCCCAGACCTCCTGAAATAGAATCTACAATTTAATAAGGTCCCCAGGTGACCCGAGTGCACATCCAAGTTTGAGAAGCACTACTTTAATGGATGAATAAGAGCCAAGCTGGTGAAGAAATGAGGGCAGGTAAGGGAGGAAGGGTGTTCCAGAGCCAAGAGGTGAAGGAAAAGATGGTCACTGGTCTGAGCGCCATCTTGGTGGGCAGCCTCCTGCTTCGTCTGCCTGGTCTCATGACAGGTAAGGACACGGCTACCCCATGAAACGTCCCTGTGTCTCTGGGAGCCCCTGCCTGCTGGCATCTGGCTGACTCTGGTCCCCTCTCTCTGTTCTTCCTTGCAGGCCAGTCTCAACAACCAGTCTGGCTTGGTGGTCAAGAGCACAGCCCCAGGAACCAAAGAGGCTGGGATCAGACCTAGGATTGTCACTTGCCACCTTAGGTTTAGTTTTGGTCACTGTCTTTGGATCTTCCAATTCTCAGGCCCCTGAGCTGCAGGCTGGTTTCTGGGCCAAATCCCAAACTTCCCACTTGCTATTGGGCAGCTCTAGAACAAGTGTTGGCAAACTTTTTCTACAAATAACCAGGTAGTGAGTACTTAGCCTTTGCAGGCCATACGGTCTGTGGCACCACTACTCACCTCTGTCACTACAGTAGGAAAATAGCTGTGGACAATAGGTAAGTGAATGGGTGTGGCTGTGTTCCAATAAAACTTTATTTATAAAAACAAGTGGCAGGACGTATTTGGCCTGTAGCCTGTAGTTTTCTGACCTGTGGTCTGTTCTATCAGAATCTAGATAAGTCACGATGGGGATTCTAACACATCCCCAGGATTTCCCAGAAGGCTCTAATACCAGCTTCTTTCCCTGTCTTTCGGTTGCTTAAGGACACCAAGCTCTTCCTTTGCAGATGGAATAGTGGTCCCTCTACTCTTTGCTGAGCTAACATCTATTCATCTTTTGGGTCTCAGCTAACTGTCACCGCCTATGAAAAGCCTTCCCTGACTTTTTAATTGAATCAGGTGCTCCTGTTATGTACACCTTTGAAGACTCCCCTAAATCACTCCTTTCTTTCTTTCTTTCTTTTTTTTTTTTTTTGAGATGGAGTCTCACCCTGTTGCCTAGGCTGGAGTGCAGTGGCATGATCTCGGCTCACTGCAGCCTCCGCCTCCTGGATTCAAACGATTCTCCTGCCTCAGCCTCCTGAGTAGCTGGGATTACAGGCACCTGCTGCCAGACCCAGCTAATTTTTTGTATTTTAGTAGAGACAGGGTTTCACCATGTTGCCCAGGCTGGTCTCGAACTCCTGAGTCAGGTGATCCACCCGCCTCGGCCTCCCAAAGTGCTGTTTACAGGTATGATTCACCACACCCAGCCCCTAAATCACTCCTTCAAAGCATTTTTCACAATATTAAAAAATTATTTTTACTATCCATCCCTCCCACTGGACTGTAAGCCCCTTACGGGAGAAGATAATTTGACTCTGGGTATATTCCCAGCATCTAGCATGTAGTAGGTGCTCATGTAACAAAGGAGGACCTCTTGAAGCTGAAGATTCCATCCTTATTACTCAAGTCAACTTCCTACAGTTTGCTGATGGAGGAGAGTTGAAACGCTGAAGAGAGAATATCTCTTTATAAGCAAGCACTGATGTCACAGCAAATAAATTTAGGAGAGTGAGAGCCTATGTGGCACCCCGTTAAAGGTAGCAATTAGCTGCCGGGGGTGGGCCACTTTGAAAAGGAGATCAAACCACCAAGGAAAACTGGGCATATCCCAGCAAAACCATCTCTCCCTAATTAAGCAGTTTTATAATTCCAGGTTTCTTAAGCATGTTATTTCTGACGACCACCAAATGGGATGTGTGGTTTCTCTGGGGCTTCAGAGAACAAGGAATACGATCAGATTATGAGCTGTCTCGCCTCCCTGCCACCGTGAAGGGGAAACGGTAGCAATTGTTGCAGGACGTGCTTGGGCATGGACGGTTCTCTGCTTGGATTCAGATAAAGGGGGTGGGAGTGTCAAGTTGGGAAGGCGGATTCTATTCCGACTTCCTCACTGCCAAGATGAGGGGTGGGACAATAAGAGAAATGGGAAACATCGAAACAACAGAGGGCTGGCTCCAGAAGCGGGTGGGAAATGAAGGAGAGTAGGATGCTGAGAAGCAGAAGAAATGAACAGAGAGGAGAATTTTTTGGAAGAACGCACCTACATGGGAAAGATGATTTGAAGACTTGTGGGGGTGGGGAGGAAGGGAGGAGAGGCATAATCAAGTATCTGTCAGCAGCTTCAATGTATGAAAAATGCACAGACAGAGATGAAACCTTTTTTTTTCTGTATCAAGATGAATAATATTTATACAGCTTTGCCTGTTTACGAATCTCTTTTATACACATTTTTTCATCTGTGGAGGCAGGACAGCCTAGTGGTTTAAAGGCGTGGGATTTGGGATTCTAAGGTCACATCTATCACCTATTAAATTGGTTGATTTGGCACAATAATTCAACCTCTATGACCCTCAGTTTCTTCATCTGTAAATGGGGTTGAATACACACATACATACACACATACATATAGATATGCATGCAGTGCTGTGCTGGAAAACTAGGTCTCTGGGGGAAAGAAAAGGCCCTGATTTGTGTGTTTGCCAATTTCTGTGGTATAAATGTTCCCACAAGGCCAGCTTCAAGCTACCAATGATTTAACAACTGTTTGCAAATTTCATGAAAATGTAACCATTGGCTCTCACATGTCAGTAAAACCTGTATTCAACACACCAAGGTGATCTTATGGATTAAATAAGCCAATAAATCTAAAACACAGGTACATAAGAAGGGCCCAGTACATGATACAGCTAGTACTGGCCCTCATGATAATCCAGAAATGTGGCCATTATGTTACTGCTGCCTTATTTTAGAGATGAGAAAATGCAGGTTCAAATGAACTAAGGTGAACTAGAATTAAGGCAAAAGTGATATCTGGGACTTCCAAGCCTAGGCCTTAAGAGATCAGACAGCTTTCACTTCCTTCCTTTTGCTTGTTCTCCCTCCTCCAGCCACCATGTTTGTGGGAAGCCCAAGCTATAAGGAGAGTCCCAGTGAAGAGGACATGTGGAAGGGGAGCAGCTCTGAGACTAATTGGAGGAGAAACATGAAAACCAGCCAACGGTGAGAACTGAGGCCCCAGATACAGGACCTTAAGAAGGCCATTCCTGCCATTGCAGCTGACGCATCAGACCTGGGAGTGAAGATGCCATCTTGGACAGTCCAGCCCCAGCAGATATCATGGGGAGGAGAGACAAGCTGTACCCGGTGTGTCCTGACTGAACTCCTGACCTGCAAAATTGTGAGAATTAAATGGTTTTTTCAAGTCAACAACAACAACAACAAAAACTAAAGTACCATCTAAGGCTACTCAGCTGGTGCTATAGACTGAACTGTGCCCACCTCAAGTTCCTTTGTTGAAGCCCTAATCCCTAATGTCATGGTATTTAAAGATAAGGCCTCTGAAAGGTAATTAGATCATGAGAGTAGAGCTCTCATGATGGGATTGGTTCCCTTATAGGAAGAGACATGAGAGATCTCTCTGCCACTTGAGGACACAGTGAGAAGACAACCTTCTGCAAGCCAGGAAGAGGGTCTTCACCATGAACACAATTATAAGCATCATGTAGAAACTTCAGAGAAGCTTTCACCTTATTCTTCCCCACTTTCTCTATCCTACTGTCTGGAACTTGGATGTGATGGCTGGTGCTCTTGCTACCATCTTGGACCATGAGGGGGAATCCCACACCCTAGAGCTGGTGAAGCAGTGGGCTGGAAGGTGTCATACTCCCAGGCTCGGGCTGCTTATCTTTGGCCTTTACATGAGAAAGAGATACATTTTTTAAATTTAAGTCTTATTATTTTGGATTCTTTGCTGTTACTATTTGATTCCAATCCTAACTAATAGAAAGCGTTTGGGACTCAGTAGGTGACCAAGAAATATTTGCTGAATGAGTAATGGACAAATGAGGGGGCAAAGTAAATGGCCTTGTGCTTTGAAACAGCTGGGTTTCCCATAGGCATGGCTCATAGAGAGCTCTAATGCTGAAGATACTAGGAATGGGAGTCTATACATAACAAATGTTCTAGAAAATGATGAGGGTAGGAGTGAGACGGGGAGGGTTGGCCAGTGACTGCCATGTTGGGCACAGAAATACCATGGGAAAGACCTGGGAAAGAAACGTGGCCCTGGGTGCAGATCCTAGCTCTGCCTCTTCAGAGATGAGGCCCTGGATTCTGAGCAAGCACAATGGCAAAGAGCATGGACTTGGGAGTCAGATGACCTGAATTTGAATTCTGATTCTGTCTCTTCCTGAGTTACCTGGGGCAAGTCACTTCATCCTTTTGTGCCTCAGTTTCCTCGCTAGTAAAATGGGGCTAATGGTAGCCCCTGGCTCCTAGGGTTGTTGGGAGGATGAATGAGCAAATGTGTGTAAAGCATTGAGTTCAGTGCCTGGCGCATGGTAAGTGCTCAATAAATGTTAGCTGCAGCACTGTTAGCAGCCTGGAAATATGAAAAAATAAATTAAGTCTGGTCAAAGAGGATGGCAGTGGACCAGGAAAGCAGAAGAATTATTATTATTATTTTTTTTAGACAGAGTCTTGCTGTTTACCCAGGCTGGAGTGCAGTGGTGCAATTTCGGCTCACTGCAACCACCGCCTTCCGGGTTCAAGCAATTCTCCTGCCTCAGCCACCAGAGTAGCTGGGATTATAGGTATGCGCCACGGCGCCCAGCTCATTTTCATATTTTTAGTAGAGACAGGGTTTTGCCACATTGGCCAGGCTGGTCTCAAACTCCTGACCTCAAGCGATCCACACACTTCGGCCTCCTAAAGTGCTGGGATTACAGGTGTGAGCTACCACGCTTGGCCTGATTTTTATATGTCACCATTTATAACATGAAAACAGGGTTAAAGTGTGGCATTTGAAGTCAGGTAGCTAGGTGCGCATCCTCTGTATCTGTGTGACTTTGGGCAAGCTGCTCTCCCTCTCTGGGCCTCAGTGTTCTGTGTGATGGGGGTGTTGACCCAGCTCCGCCATTCTGGGCCTCTATGCACTGTTAAAACAACTACTGGTGTCACTTTAGGCTATAAGTGACAGCTAACATGAAGTAGCTTCCACAAAGAAGGAAATGTATTAGGTCACAAAACTGGGAAGGCAGGGGTGGCTCTGGCTTCAAGGATTCCTGGATCCAGGAGGTCAAACAATATAGTCAAAGAGCCTTCTCTAGTTCTCTAGTTGTATTTTTCCTTTTGTCTTTTCGTTTTTTGCTTTTTGAGACAGAGTCTCGCACTATCGCCCAACCTGGAGTGCAGTGGCTCAATCTTGGCTCACTGCAATCTCTGCCTCCTGGGTTCAAGTGATTCTCGTGCCTCAGCCTCCCAAGTAGCTGGGATTATAGGCGTGCACCACCATGGCTGGCTAATTTTTCTATTTTTAGTAGAGATGGGGTTTCACCATGTTGGCCAGGCTGGTCTCGAACTCCTCAGGTGATCTGCCCGCCTCAGCCTCCCAAAGTGCTGGGATTACAGGTGTGAGCCACTGCACCCAGCCAGTTCTCTTTCTATCTCTCCTCTTCTTCCCCATCTCTCAGCTCAGATGTCTCTGTTTCTTGTGTGTAAGTTTCATTCTCTCCTGCCAAGGTTGGACTCACTGCAGGTGGTAGTAGTGGTGGTGATGATGATGATGGTGACTTAGCTGTTAACTATGTGCTAGGCACCACTCTGTGCACACCACTATGAGGCAGGTGCTATTAATACTCTCACTTTACAGATAAGGAAATGGAGGCACAGAAAAGTTAGATAACCTGCCCCAGGTGACGCAGCTGGAAAATGCTGGATCTGACAGTATCTAGTAGGAAAGATGGCCACTGGCAGCCCCAAGCCAACACTCTTACAGCTGGAATTGCCACAGAGAGAGAGAGAGACAGAGAGAGAGACAGACCCTGTTTCTCCTGGGGCCATTTGCCAAAATGATGGCCCTGCTTCCCTCTGGGAACCAAGCTCTGAGGCCAAGAGGTCATGGGGTTCTATGATTGGTCAGTCCTGGTCACAACCATGGGGGCAGCACTGTGACTGACGGTGTCATCAGAACTAAGGGGACAGAGAGGAGGGCTGGTTCCTCTGGTTGAAGGAGGTTGGCCAGGCAGGGTGGCTCACACCTGTAACTCCAGCACTTTGGGAGGCCGAGGCACACAGATCACCTGAGGTCAGGAGTTCAAGATCAGCCTGGCCAACACGGTGAAATCCCGTCTCTACCAAAAATACAAAAAATTAGCTGGTGTAGAGGTGCACACCTGTAATCTCAGCTACTCTGGAGGCTGAGGCAGGAGAATGGCTTGAACCCGGGAGGCAGAGGCTGCAGTGGGCTGAGGTTGCGCCACTGCACTCCATGCACTCCATGCACTCCAGCCTGGGCGACAGAGTAAGACTCTGCCTCAAAAAAAAAAAAAAAAAAAAAAAAAAAAAAAAGAAACAAGTAGTCAGAAAAAGGAGGATAGCTTCAAGGACTAAAGCTAGCAAGCTAGCACAGGGCCAGGAATCTGCATTTCAAAGCCCTCCTTCCACATGTGGAAAAATAAGCAGGAGGGACTGCTTCCAGCCTCCTGGGCCAGAGGGGGCCCTCAGCCTCCTGCGAGACTTTTCCTTGCTTGCTTTTCTTCCCTGGATGGACTGCCTGTTGGCTCCCAAAAGCCCCAGGGTATGGGGGCCACAAGTCCTGCTCCCAAGTGGGCGGCCAGGACAAGGAACTGAAAACAAAGACATGTTGTCCTGGGAAGGTGGCCTGCGGGCCTGTTAGGATGGTGGGGTTGTGGGGACCACAGCTGGCAGAGTCCTGCAGACCCAGCACCGACCTGGAGGCTTGAAGGGCTGGGCTAATGAGCTGAGGCCCGTGCTGGGTCTCCTCCAGTGCTGGGGGTGGGATCGGGGCTGGACCACTGACTTCACAGCAGCGCCCGGCCAGGAGGGGTGGGAGAAACAAGTGTGACGGGGCAGGACTGGGGATAGAAGCAAGGCTAGAGAAGAGCACAGGAAGGAAGGAGGGAAGTGGATAGAAACAGGAGGGGGAAATGGGGCTGGGGGCAGAAGAAAGGAAGAGAGAAATGGCAGAGTTAGAGGCCAGAAGAGAAAGAACACCCAGGAGGCAGAGTCCAGGTGAGAAGGCAACAGGGGAAGAGTAACCCCCGTATTAAGCGCTTACCAGGGGCCAGGAACGGCACACCAATTGCTCCTCTTGTAGGTAGTTATGACGCGTTCCCATTTCTTAGATGAGAAAGCTCAAACACAGAGGCAGGGGAGGGAAGAACAGAGTGGGAGACCCAGCAAGTGAGAGGATTACAAGAGGAAAGAGAGAAGGACTAGGGCTGGCTTCTAGTTTAGTGATGAGTTTCTCGGTTGAACACTTAGTACCTGCAGGCTGTCCCCAGACTCTGACAATCCCAGGAGATGGACACTGAAATTATTTGCCCCTGTTAACTGGTGAGGAGAGAGAGGCTCAAAGAGGCAGGGTATGTTGTTCGAAGTTGCTAGACAGTGGTGGAGCCGGGATTTAAATCCAGCCTGATTTTCCAGAGTGGCTTTGTGCCACTCTGAGAAACAGAGAAAGGGAGACCCTAGGAGACCTTAGGAGATAAAGTAAGATGTGGGAGAAAGAGAAAGAAAAGATACAAGCTATGGGGGTAGAGAGGGAAGGATAACTGAAGGATGATAAAATTCAGAATAATGGGTACCCCTGGTGGGGGAAGTGAGGACACAGGAACTTTCCAGATGCCGGAAATGTTCCATATCCACCACAGCCAATCCAGTAACCACTGGTCACATGTCGCTATGGAGCACTTGAAATGTGGCTATTCTGAATTGAGATGTACTGAAAGTCTAAAATACACAGGGATAGCTGGGCATGGTGGCTCACACCTATAAACCCAGAACTACGGGAGGCCGAGGCAGGAGGACCCCTTGAGACCAGGAATTCGAGACCAGACTGGGAAACATAATGAAATCCTGTCTCTACAAAAACTAGCCAGGCATGATGGCGCACGCCTGTAGACCCAGCTACTCGGGAGGCTGAGGCAGGAGGATGACCTGAGCCCAGGGAAGTCGAGGCTGCAGTAAGCATGATCGTACTTCTACACTCCAGCCTGGGAGACACAGTAAGACTGTCTTTAAAAACAAACAAACAAACAAACAATATCCCTTAAAAGCAAAAGAAACAAGGAATTTCAAAGTCTTAGAAAAACAACAAAAGGTAAAATATCTCATTAAAAATTTTATGTTGATTACATGTTGAAATAATATTTTGGACACATTAGGCTAAATAAAATATAGTATTAAAATTAAAGTCACCTGTTCCTTTCTAGTTGTTTAACGTGACTACTAGAACATTTAAAATCGTCTGTGTGACTACTCTTATATTTCTGTCGGACAGCTTTGTTGATACTTTGATCTGAGTGATTACATATGTTTGTAAAAATCCACTGAGCTTTATAATTAGGGCACTCCACAGTATGTAAGTTATGCCTCAATACAAAAGAAAAAGGAAAAAAGGCAAGAGAAGGGCGAGCCAGGATGGAAAGAAGCGCAGCAGGTAGGAGGCGGGGCCAGCGGGGCGGGGCTGGTGGCCGCGCGTTGCCTGGCAACGGGTGCTGCCGGTGACGTCACCACCCGGCGGCAGCCATTAATCCCCCTCCTGGCGGCGCGGGCTGGCCCGGCCGCCTGCCTCCTCCTCCCCCGGGCCCGGATGAGATCACCGCGTCGGGCGGCCGGCTGTCCCCGCGCTCCCAACAAATCGACTCCTCGGCGAGCGCCGGCATCTCATGATCTCATGGCCCCGCGGGACGGCGCCGGCCGATGAGGTCACAGCCCCGCGCCCCGGGCCGCCCCGCTCTGCGCGCCGCCGGCTCCGGGTCTGGCCTCCGGGCGTCCCGCGCCGGTACCAGGCCCCCGAGCCTGAGGCTCTTAGCCCTTCGCGGACAAAGGAGATCTCAGTTTGCGAAGGGCAAAGCTGCCTTTTCCATCCTTTTGACGCATCTTTGCGCGTCCACTCCCCGCTCTCTTATTTGGACATTTCACCCCGAAGACCCCTTGTCCAGCAGGGAGTGACCTCATCAGCTCCCCTAAACTTGAAGTCAGGGGCCATGCGACGCGGCTTGCCTGCAGGATTTCACAGCCACTGAGTGAAGGAAGTTGTGGAGCTGTGTCTTACAGACGAAGAAACGGGATCAGAGGGATAAAGGAATCTGCCCCAGATTACCCACGTAGGGAAGGGTGGCGCAGGAACCCGGACCTCCATGATGTGAATGAGCCCTTTGACAGCCTTTTTCTTCTCCTTACCTGTACCCCAAACCTCTGCACCTTTACCCCAGTTCCTCCTTGCTCTGGTGTAAACAGTGGTAACGGTCCCACTTGCGGCGTGCCCCCGCAATGCTGGGTCCTGTTCCACATGACAGACCACTGTAGAGGAATTATACGGACCATTTTACAGATGAGAACACAAGGCTCGGAGAGGTCAAGTTACTTGCTGCAGAACTGGGACTTGTACCCAGGTGACTTGACTCTACAGCAGAGCCTTTCAATTACTCGACACCACCTTCCCCAGAAAAAGAGGAAGGCTTCCGAATGTTGACAGTGGACGATACACCCTCCCTTCTCTCTCCGACAGGGTCGCCATCAAACCCAGTTGAAGAGGGTCCAGTGAGAGCCTATTAGAGGCTTCACAACTCACTTGCCAGCAGCAGATTTCTCCCATCGCTTAGAGACTGCTCACTCACACCACTCCTCAGAAGACCTCCAGCAACATACACAGCCAGGAACGACAGGAAGGAAGGGACATGACATTTACTGAACGGCAGTGCTGAACCAGGCACTGAGCCAGGGCCTGTTACTAAGGGCAAAGCTGGGAGGGATATTACCAGCCCAGGTTTGCAGACGAAAAAGCGGATTTTTTTTTTTTTTTTGAGATAGGGCCTCACTGTCACCCAGGCTGGAGTGCAGTGGTGCGATCTCAGCTCACTGCAGCCTTGAGTTCCTGGGCTCAAGCGAGCCTCCCCTCTCAGCCCCACGAGTAGCTGGGACCACAGGTGTGTGCCACCATGCCCCAGATAATTTTTTAAAGACTTTTTTTGTAGAGAGGGGGTCTCCCCTGTGTTGCCCAGGCTGGTAAATATTTTTTAAAACCAAAGTCAGATGTCAAGGAAGTACAAGTTTCAGCTCAAATGTCCATCCCACAGAGAAAGCCCTTTCCCGTTTCCCTAAACGAATTCTCCATGAATTGTTTTTATTTGTCTCTAGTGCTTGTTGAAACTTGAAGTTCTATATTTGCGTGTTGATATAGTTTAATGGTGATTTCCCCCAATGAAATGAGAGCAGGGACTCTGTTTTGGTCTGTTTCTTTCATTTATCATCTTATCCCCAACACCTTCGCAGTGCCTGTCATAATATGACACTGAAATATTTTTGGAGTAAATGCAAAGAATTGGTGGCTTAGGATGGTGAGCAGTGCTGCTCAAAACTCAGGTTTGTTTGAGTGTAAAGTGTGGTCTTACTCCATACTTTCTAGGAAGTTCAAAAGCCCCTTGCTACATATACTTTACTTACAGTGAAGTCCCTGTGGTGCTTTTCAGAGCCTATTAATTCTTAAGTGTACTACAGTAGTGACAAGTTTGGCATTCTGGTTTCCCAATCAGTAGTGTCCTCTGTTGGTAGCTGAGAGGAGAGGAAAATCAGAGGAACTGAGTAGGAAATTAGGCGTGGAAGGGACAAGGTTATACAGCTTATGCTCTCACCTTTAATAACAGCAAGGAAGAAGACGTAAAAACTACAAAAATCAGGCTGGTGCAGTGGCTCATGCCTGTAATCCCAGCACTTTGGGAGGTTGAGGCATGAGGATTGCTAGAGGCCAGGAGTTTGAGACTAGCCTGGGAGACATCATGAGACCTCCTGTCTCTATTTAAAAAATAAAAACAGGCCAGGTGCAGTGGCTCACACCTGTAATCCCAGTACTTTGGGAGGCTGAGGCGGGCAAATCACTTGAGGTCAGGAGTTCGAGACCAGCCAGGCCAACATCGTGAAACCCCATCTGTACTAAAAATACAAAAATTAGTCGGCCATGGTAGTGCGTGCCTGTAGACGCAACTGTTTGGGAAGCTGATGCATGAGAATCGCTTGAACCCAGAAGGTGGAGGTTGCGGTGAGCTGCGATCGCACCACTGTATTCTAGCCTGGGCGACAGAGCGAGACTCCATCTCAAAAAACAAAACAAAACAAAAACAAGGAAACTACAAAGACCAGACACAAGGAAAACACACAAATGGTAATCACAAAACTTTTCTTATGGGCAAAGGGAGGGAAGAAGATGGATGGAACCCAGGAGATATACACAAGGGGTTTCTAAGAAACTAGCAGTTCTCTACTTTTTAAGCTGGGTACACGAGTATTTGTTATTTTTTGTTTTTATACCTCATACATGTTATTTTTTTAAGGCCACAAGCTGAAATTTTGCTTACCCACTTTAAAAATAGACTATAACAACCCCATGAGGGGGGAAATTGTCACCTCCACTTTGCAGATGAGAGAAACTGAGGCTCAGTTTCAGAGAAGTTCACCATTTTGCCTAAGCTTATAGAGCTCAGATGTAGCAGAGGTGGGATTTGAATCCAGGTCTCTGATGTCTGTACAGATGCTCTTACCCACAACATCTGCCACTAGATAACTGGACACTCACTATTAAAACCAGAGCTGATGAAAATGTGTCATTTTCTCCCTCTCACCCCCAATTTCCTATAAAGATCCTCTCTCTGCTCTTCTGGCGAGGAGGGGGAGGAGGAGGCCGCGATCGCCTCTGGTGCTATGGTCCCAGGGGCCAGCTGGCAGAGTCCTTGGGGCCAGGCTGAGGCCCCAAAAGAGTTGCTGGGCTGTGAGTAAAAATCTTCCTGTCAACAGCAGCAGTGGGGTACCCAATTTCATTGGCCATGGTTCCCTTGATCTAAGAGCATCGGCCCCATGAACAGGAAGGGCCCAGCGCACGTGCCCCAGCAACTGCATCAGCAGCTTCCCTACACACAGGGCCCTGCTCCCCAGTACCCAGGAGAGGCCTAATTATAAGATGTTGATGATTAAGCCCATAGTGGCCTGGGACCCTGTTAGCTACGAAAAGGCGTTCTCTTCCCTCTGTCCTGGTCCCAGGTGGATGGATGAGCTTATCTGTCCCCAAGTCAGCTATAGTCTTAAGCACAAATGCTCTGGGCTAAACTGCCCAAGCCTGGCTGTTTCCCAAAACACTAGGGAGTGGAGGGAGAGGTGCAAGGGAAGGAGGGAGACAGGCAGAGATGGGCAGAGGGCATCTCCTTTCCTGGTGGTCTGGAGCCCATGACTTCAAACTTGACAAACAGGGTCCTCAAGTGTGGATCTGTCCTGCTGGGAGGGTGACTTTGCCGAAGTCATATCAATCACTTCTCTGGGCCTCAGTTTCCTCGTTAGCAAAGTAGGGGATATGGAAGGCTGAATAATGCCCCCGCCCCAAAGATGTCCATATCCCAATCCCCAGAACCTATGAATTTGGTACCTTACAGGGCGAAAGGAATTTTGTGCACGTGCAGATGTGATGAAATTAAGGCTCCTGAGATGGGGAGATTATCCCAGGTGACCTGGACGGGCCCAATATCATCACAAGGATCCTTATTAGAGGAAGGCAAGAGGGTCAGGTTGAAGGAAGACAATGAGACAACAGACACAGAGGTTGGAGAGA
Source organism: Homo sapiens (assembly GCF_000001405.40). Taxonomy (NCBI): domain Eukaryota; kingdom Metazoa; phylum Chordata; class Mammalia; order Primates; family Hominidae; genus Homo; species Homo sapiens. The sequence continues at coordinate 116,815,531 of NC_000012.12, read as the reverse complement.
TGCACTTTGAAGATAGAGAAGGGGACCAGAGGCAAGGAGGGCAGGGAGCTTCTAGAAGCTAGAAAAGACAAGAAAATGGATTGTCCCCCGGAGCCTCCCAAAGGAACCACAGTGCAGACACCTTGGCTTTAGCCCAGTGACACAGATTTTGGACATCTGACCTCCAGAACTGTAAGATAATACAGTTGTGTTGTTTTAAGCCACAAGGTTTGTGGTTATTTGTTACAGTACTCACAGGAAGCTAACACAGAGAAGAAATAGTTAGACTGTCATGAGGGTAGTGTCAGGATGGCATGGCTGGAGCATCTCTGGTGGGCTGGCTTCCATGGCAAGATGGGAGGAGGCCAGAGCACACCCAGGCCTGGGAGTGGCCTCTGAGCTGTGGTTACAACCACCTCTTTGACTACATCTACTACTACTAGGACCGGCTACATCATTTATGATACCCAGTGTAAAATTAAAATGCAGGGCCCCTTGTTGACATACTAAGAATCTCGGCTGGGCGCCGTGGCTCATGTCTGTAATCCCAGCACTTTGGGAGGCCGACGCAGGCGGGTCACCTGAGGTCAGGAGTTTGTGACCGGCCTGGCTAACATAGTGAAACCCCATTTCTACTAAAAATACAAAAATTTAGCTGGGCATGCTTGCACGCAGGTGAAACACCATCTGTACTAAAAATAGAAAACTTAGCTGGGCATGGTGGTGCATGCCTGTAATCCCAGCTACTCGGGAGGCTGAAGCATGAGAATCACTTGAACCCAGGAGGCAGAGGTTGCAGCCAGCCGAGATTGCACCACTGCACACTCCAGCAGTCTGGGCAACAGAGTGAGACTCTGTCGGAAAAAAAAAAAAATATCATACGGCAACAGTGGAGCATTAAACCAAGTGTTTGGGCCTTCTGCAAAGGGTGCTTGCCCATGAAGTTGCCCTGCCCCTTCTTCTGCTCCAGCCACACAGGCTCATTGCTCCTTAACCTTGCCAAGCACGTTTCCACCTCAGGGCCTTTACATATGCTGTTTCCCCAGCCTGGAATCCTCTTCCCCACATATCCACATGGCACACTCCCTTGCTTCCTTCAAGGCTTTGCATGAATGTTACCTTCTCCCTACCCCCCACCACTGTCTAAAAGAGCATCGCCCTCCCTTCCCCGCCCTGCAAACAATGACACTCCCTGTTTGATCTCCATCTGACATATTGCCTACTGATTTCAGCATCTTTTTATCTAAGTCCCTTGAAAGTGCATGCTCTGCTTCTTCACTGCTGTATTTCTGGGACCTAGTCCTGGGCCTGGTACAGAATAGGTGGCCAAAAAATACTGGTTCAGTGGATGAAGAAATGGATGAATGGAAAGTGCCTAGGACAGTGGCTGGCAGGTAGTACGTGCATGGTGACTGGCTTCTACAATGTTGCCATGACAATGACTATCATCATCTACTCCTGGAGAATGACACGGGGAGGGCTGGGGTCATGTTTTCCAAGGCCCCGTTTCCTCTGCTTACCTTGTTTTTTCACTAATTGATAAATCGAGCCTAGCACTTACTAAGCTGTAGTGATCAAAAGGCTTCATTCATATTAAAGGTATGGTCCTGTTTAATCTTCACATCATGAATACTATCCCCATTATATACGGAAGAACACTGAGGCTTAGAGAAGGCTACTGACTCATCCAAGGTCCATGACTTATAAGTGAAAGAGCTGGGAATGGAACCTGCTTGACTCCAAGTCTGGTAGACCCTTCCAACTGAATTCACACTGCCTGCTTCAGAGAAAATATAGTGAAGGGAGAAATATCTGCAACATTCTCATGAATTAATTACCTTCAGCGTATGTGTTTTGAGTACCTGCTATGTACCATGCACTGTGCTGGGAATAAAATGAAATATACAAGAGACTTGATCTCTGTTCTTGCCAAGTTTTAAGTCCTAATGGGGGAGACAAACCAGCAAACACAACATCACATGATGCATTCACAACAGAAGTGGCCTCGGGGCTATGGAAGCACACAGGTGAGTCACCCAACCACAAGTTTAGACTTCCAAGTGGAAATGATATCTAAACACCTGAGGGTGATGGGGTGATGAGGGGTCAGCCAGATGGGGCTGGGGAGACAGTGTTCCTAGCACAGGGAACAGCCACTGCAAAGGCCTGGAGGAGGTGAGAGAACAAGAGCATGATTCAGCCCTAAGAGGCATTCAAAACACTTGGCAAGCGATGGCTGAGGTGTCGGGCTGGGAAGAGAGGCGAAGGCCAGGCAAGCATTCAAAAGGACTCCCTTGGCCAGGAGGCTCACACCTGTAATCCCAGCACTTTGGGAGGAGGCCAAGGTGGGTGGATCGCTTGAGACCAAGAGTTCAAGGCCAACCTGGATAACATGGCAAAACCCTGTCTCTACAAAAAATACAAAAAAAATTAGCCAGGCATGGTGGCACATGCCTGTAGTCCCAGTTATCGGGGAGGCTGAGGCAGGAAGATGGCTTGAGCCTGGGAGGTCATGGCTGCAATGAATCGTGATCGTGCCACTGCACTCCAGCCTGGGTGACAGAGTGAGACCCTGTTTCAAAAGAAAAAAACAAAAACAAATGACAAAACAAAACAGAAAACCAAAGGACTCCCTTGCCTCTGAATGGCGTGGGATTATGGACAAGGTACTGAAACTCTTGGAACGATGGTTTCCTCCTCCTAAGATAGGAACAGCCCTAGCCAGGCGCAGTGGCTCACACCTGTAATCCCAGCACTTTGGGAGGCCAAGGCAGGTGGATCACTTGAGGCCATGATTTAGAGACCAGCCTGGCCAACATGGTAAAACCCCATCTCTACTAAAAATACAAAAATTAGTCAGGTGTGGTGGCGCATGCTGTAATCGCAGCTACTCAGGAGGCTGAGGCAGGAGAACCGTTTAAACCCAGGAGGTGGAGGTTGCAGTGAGCTGAGATCGCGCCACTGAACTCCAGCCTGGGTGACAGAGTGAGACCCTGTCTCAAGGAAAAAAAAAAAAAAGATAGGAACAGGCCTAGACACAGAAGGCTGGCTGCAGAGATCTCCCCGCCACCTCCTGGCCTCACCTAGTGTAGTGACAAGTCTGCTTTCAGTAATGCCACGCCCCAGGGACCTGCGGTAATCTGGTCAGGCCCATGAGGGAACAGAGCTGTCCCTCCTCTCCTCCCTCTGCCATCCCCGTCCTCTGCCTGCATCTCTGCGTTGTCACTCAACGTGTATTTATGTCGGGCTGCTATGGTCATCACTCAGTGTGTATTTATGTCGGGCTGCTATGTGCCAGGCACCCTGGATAAGGCTGCAGCAGGGAATAAGTCTGTGTTCCAGGTGCCATCTCCCTCTGTCTTGTTCTTGTTCTTTTGTGTGTCTCTGCCCCACCTCTCCATCAGCCCCTTGAAGTCAGGGTCAGGTCTTATCCCAACAGCTGAGATTGAGCAGGCACTGAAAACTCTGTTCTAAACCTCATGACCTCATTTGTTCCTCACCGGGCTCCTCCTGGAGCCAGGTAACATCATCAGTCATGTACACAGAAGAGGCATCAGAGTTTGACCCGGTGAACTCACTCACCCGAGGGTATATAGCTAGTGGCAAAGGCAGGATTCAAACCAGGCAGCCCCAGGACCCAGTCCAGGGCTGGTGCCTATTGGTAACTAGTAAGGATAATATTTCCTCCCTTCTTTTCCTTCCTTCCATTCAGGGTTCTGATCTTAGCACTTCTGGGCCCCGAGGAGAAGAGCCAGAGGCCAGCAAAGCCTCGGTGGGCTGCCAAGCCCCCTGCAACAGGGCCTGGATTTCCACGAGGGTCATGAGGGTGGATGCACACACACACAGACACACACATGCACAAACGCACGCGCACGCATGCCGGGTGCGTTGGCTCACGCCTGTAATCCCAGCACTTTGGGAGGCCAAGGCGGGCAGATTATTTGAGGTCAGGAGTTTAAGATCAGCCTGGCCAACATGGCGAAAACTCGTCTCTACTAAAAATACAAAAATTAGCCAGGTGTGGTGGTGGGCGCCTGTAATCCCAGCTGCTCAGGAGACTGAGGCACAAGGATTGCTTGAACCTGGGAAACAGAGGTTGCAGTGAGCCGAGATGGCCCCACTGCACTCCAGCCTGGGCGACAGAGTGAGACTCTGTCTCAAAAAAAGGAAAAAAAAAAATACACCCATTGAGCATTTACATGTGCCAGGGATTGCTAAAATCACCTCCACCTGCATTGCTTCCATTTATTTTTTAAATCACCTCCAGTCTCCACCCTACCTCCAGAGGTAAACAGGAATATTTCTTTTTTTTTTGAAATGGGGGTCTTTCTATGTTGCCCACCTGGACTTGAACTCTTGGGCTCAAGCCATCCTCCCACCTCAGCCTTCCTAGTAGCTGGAAAGACAAACTTCCGAGTAGCGTGAGCCATCATGCCTGGTGGATAACTTCCTTTTTTACAGATGAGGAAACTGAGGCATGGAGAAGGGAGGTGACTGACTGGAAGTGATACTGATGGAAATGGTGGAACCAAAATTCCAGCTCAGATCCACCTGACTCCAGAGCCCAAGCTCTTTCCAATCCACTCTGGAACCTTTCTGGACAAGCTAAAAGTTGAGACGTGTTATCAGTGGGCTCCCTGAGGCCAAATCTCAGTTCTGCTACCTTTTCTTCTCTCCAGGGAAGGAGAAACATCTGGGGGAAATATGGAAGCAGGGTAGTCCCCCCTACCCCAATGGAAGCAAAAAGCAGGAAACCAACACAGCAGTCCCTGTCTTCCCCCTCAGGAGCAGGGAGCCAAAGTAGACACCTCCAAGGCCCCCTCAGGGAGCCTGGCTGCCTTGCTTAATCATTGAGTTGAAGAAGAGAAAAATGATCAGCCCTTAGCTTGATGATTAATTCCCCCAGCACCCCACAGCAGGGGTTGCCACCACATACCCATGATGTAGTTTGGAAAGGTGGGTCAGGGTGGGTCTCGGAGCCAAGAACGTGAGTCTCCCTGCTTTGCCCTGTGAGCAAATTCATACCAACCACTGCTGTTTGCTCATCACTTTATTTGAGAGTCACTCACTCACCTACCCTGAGCCACTGGGCAGATTCTTATTCTGCCCCCATGGAGCTTAGAGTCTGGTGGGAATGGGATGTTCAGGAGTTATCTGGAAAAACGCACACCCCGAACTGTTTTCCACTTCCACACCATGGCTGCGGCTGTCCCCTCTTCCTGCCGTGCCCTTGTGGCTTTGCGATGCCTGGGTAACTCCCAGCCCTGCTTTAAAACTCAGCTCTGATGTCACCTTCTTCAGGAAGTCTCTGCTGGGGACTGGTTTAGGTGTCCATTCTCTGTTTTCCCAGAGGGCCTTGGAGTGACTGCTTCCTTGCCTGCAACACCCCCACTGGACTGTGAGCTTTCAGCGTGAAACTCCTGGTCTGCAGAACCCCATGCCTAGCATAGGTCTCGGCACTCTGGGGTGTCCAATATATCTGCAGAATGAATGCATGAGAAAACAAATCATGTGACCCAGAACTGGTCACTTTGGGGACTTGGTTTCCTCAAATCAGCAGAATAAGAAGGTCTTTCTGGCCTAGGCACGGTGGCTCACGTCTGCAAGCCCAGCACTTTGGGAGGCCGAGGTGGGTGGATCATCTGAGGTTGGGAGTTTGTGACCAGCCTGGCCAACATGGTGAAACCCTGTCTTTACTAAAAAATACAAAAAATTAGCTGAGCGTGGTGGTGGGTGCCTGTAGTCCCAGCTACTCAGGAGGCTGAGGCAGGAGAATAGCTTGAACCCGGGAGGTGGAGGTTGCAGTGAGCTGAGATTGTGCCATTGTGCTCCAACCTGAGCAACAAGAGCAAGACTTCATCTCAAAAAAAAAGAAAAGGTCTTTCTGGGTCTACCGGTCTGTGAAAAAGAGGGCAGGGGTGAAGCCCAGTCTTTGAGGAACCAGAGAGACCTCCGGGATGTCTGAATCGGGAACTGACCATCTTGGCATGGCTCCCAGTGAAGCCATGAGCAGGCCAAAGCCTCTCCCAAAGGGGCTGGTTGCATATCAAAGTGCTCTTTACCTGCGAGAACTGGAGCTGACTCTGGCCCATTCCAGCAAAAAAGAGGGGGCTTTGGAAAGATTGTGGATCTTCTCGGACTTCAAAGAAGCGCTGGACCCCCCAGGCCACATGAAGGAGTTGCCGAAACCTCACAACGAAGTGGAAGGACCTCTCCTCTCATCAGCACTTCTCAACTCCTGTCAGCACCTGAACCACCAGGAATCGAGTTCAAACGCAACCTCTGATGGAGGAGGACTGGGATGCAGCCACGACTCTGCTCCCAGGTGATGAATGAATGAATGAATGAATGAATGAATGAATGAACAAACTCAGCTCTAACTGTGCCCAGCCTCTGTGTTCTTCAGTTCCTGGGGGAGGGCACTGGATGGCTCCAGCAAGGACTAGGTGCCTGCTCAGGATTACCAGCGATAGGCAGGGGAGAGGGGCACCAAAAAAGCCATGGCTCCGGCCCTGTGCATCCAGTTATAACCACAGAAGGGTGGGCCTTGGGATGGGGCGGCCATCCTAAAAGGGGCTGATGGCAGCTGGGGCGGAGCCAGGCCAGCTCGCCAGACAGTGACCATCTGAGCTGGTGACAAGTATCATCTTTCAACCTGGAGGTCGATTTCCAACGGCCCAGTGCTGGGGGTGAGAGTGGGGGAGCCAGGGGGAGCACAGGACGGGGAGCAAGAATTTCAATAGCAGCTATGTTCCTAATTTCCCCAGGAGGAGGCCTGACCGCCCCTCCTCCCTGCCGTTTGCCATTAAAAACAAACAGTATCATTTGGTTCAATAGAAAATGAATTAAAGGAAATTAAACTGCGGGGGCCATGTGGCAAGCCTTGTCTTCCATTGTCTGAGGTTGTTTTTCATCTTCTCTAGTGGCGGAACAACAGCTTGGGGGGTGTGGAGCCAGGCGGGACTACATAAATAAATAAATCACCCAAAACCTCCCCACCATCTTCATCCAGTAGAGGGTGGGGTGTGGGAAATCCCAGGTGCCTGCTGGGGCCCTGTCCCTGCTGCGTCCCTTGGTGGCAGAATGTAGCCTTTGGGAGTCTCCCAGGGGGCAGAGTGAAGGGAAAAACAAAACAAAACACAAGGACAGCAACAAAACATGAAGGCTGGATGCAGCGGCTCGCACCTGTAATTCCAGCACATTGGGAGGCCAAGGCAGGAGGATTTCTTGAGGCCAGGAGTTCAACACCAGCCTGGGCAATGCAGCAAGACCCCGTTGCTATAAAAAACTTAAAAATTAGGCCAGGTGTGGTGGCTTACGAGCACTTTAGGAGGCCAAGGCAGGTGGATCACCTGAGGTCAGGAGTTTGAGACCAGCCTGGCCAACATGGTGAAACCCCCATCTCTACAACAAATACAAAAATTAGCTGGGCATGGTGGCGGGCGCCTGTAATCCCAGTTATTTGGGAGGCTGAGGCAGGAGAACGACTTGAACCTGGGAGGCGGAGGTTGTAGTGAGATCGTGCCATTGCCCTCCAGCCTGGGCAACAAGAGCGAAACTGTCTTAAAAAGAAAAAATTAAAAAATTAGCTGAGTGTGGTGCACACCTGTAGTCCCAGCTACTCAGGGGGCTGAGGTGGGAGGATCGTTTGAGCCCAGGAGTTTGAGGCTGTAGTGAGCCACAATCGCATCAAAGCACACCGGTTTGGGTGACACAGCAAGACCCTATCTCAAAACAAAAACACAGACTCAAGAAAAAGTGAGGTGCAGGCCCCACAGACAGAAAAGGAGGGTACCAGGGTAGTTGAGGGAAGAGGATGTAAGGAGGCTGGGGACAAGGGTGTATGGTGCCTGGGTTGGTGGGAGCAGTTTCGATGGTTCTGCAGGTGCACAGGGAGCAGTGGCTGCTGCTGTTTGAGTTGCAGTCTCTGGGTCAGGGGAGTGCGAGTGGGGAATGGTGCGGGGAGAGGCAGAATCATGCAGTGATTAAGAGTCTTAGAGTCTAAGCCCTGTCATTTACATACCCCAGGCAAGTCACTTACCTTCTCTGTGCCTCAGTTTCCTCATCTGCAAATTGGGGGCATTAAGAGTGTCTACCTCATAGGATTGTTGTGAGAATGAAATGAGTTCATGTTAATGAAGCATTTAGACCAGTACTAGGGACACTGGATATTTATTATTACTCCGTCGTATTATCATCTAATATTTCTTACTTTATTACTATCACGGGTCCCTAATGGCATCTCCCTTGGCATCTGGAAGACCTGGCCTCTGAAGTCACAGCCTGGCCACAGACTTGCTGTGTGACCCTGGATAAGTGAACACACCTTGCTGAGCTTCCAGTCTCTCATTTATAGACAAGGGATAATCACCCCGGTACAGAGATTGCTAGTGCCTCCCGATATTCCTTCTCCCCTTCCTCTTTCAAAATAAGCGTCTCAATCTTTGCTTAGGGCCATTGGCACCCAGCCACAAGATGACACTCCCCAGCCTGCCATGCGGTAAGTGTGACTGAGTGGTGGCCAATGAGATCTAAGTGAAAGTGACGGGAGCCATTTCCGGGAAGCCATGTAAAAAGGGAGAGGAACACTTAAGAACTTTTACAAATGAGGAGCAAAAATCCCAGCAGAACAGTGGCACACGGAATCCAGAAGTACATTCAAAGAATAAGAGGTTATGATCAAGAGGGGTTCACTGAATGTAAGGATTAATAGAAAATCTAATAATGCAGCTCTTCATAGCAACAGATGAAAGGAGAAAAATCAAATGCTTTTTGATCAAATTCAACAGCTTTTTTTTTTTTTTTTTGAGAGAGGGTCTCTTGTATCACTCAGGGTGGAGAGTATAGTGGCATGACCATGGCTCACTGCAGCCTCGAACTCTCAGGCTCAAGGGATCCTCAGTCTCCCGAGTAGCTGGGACTACAGGTGTGCACCGCCGTGCTCAGCTAATTTTTTAATTAATTTTTTTTATAGAGAAGGTGTCTCACTATGTTGCCCAGGCTTGGTCTCGAACTCCTGGCCTCAGCCTCTTAAACTGCTAGGATTATAGATGTGAAACACTGTGCCTGGCCATAACAACCATCTTTAATTTTAAACATTTTACTAGATTAAACTAGATGAATCTATCTATCTATCTATCTATCTATCTATCTATATATATATATATATATTTTTTTTTTTTTTTGAGACAGTCTCACTCTGTTACCCAGGCTGGAATGCAGTGGTGCCATCTGGGCTCACTGCAACCTCCACCTCCCAGGTTCAAGCTATTCTCATGCCTCAGCCTTCCAAGTAGCTAGGATTACAGGCATGCACCACCATGCCTGGCTAATTTTTGTATTTTTGGTAGAGATGGGGTTTCCAGGCTGGTCTCGAACTCCTGGCCTCGAGTGATCTGCCCACCTCGGCCTCCCAAAGTGCTGAAATTACAGGCATGAGCCTCAGCACCCAGCCAAGATGAATACTTTGTTAACATGATAAAACATCAGCGCCAGCTTCAAAGCTGCCCTCTTGTTTAAAGGGGGACTATATGTTTAGTTTAATGTCTCGATTCAGCTAGCTAGGCTGTAGTATTTAGTTATGCAATCAAACACTGATCTGGGTTTTGCTGTGATGGCATTTTGTAAATGTTGTTAACATCTACAATCAGTTGACATAAGCAATGAAGATTTTCCTTGATATCCTGGGTGAACCTCATCCAATCAGCTGAAGGGCTGTAAGAACAAGACTGAGGTTTCCCCGAGGAAGAATAAATTCTGCCTCAGGACTTCAGCATCAGGGCTGGGCACCGTGGCTCACGCCTGTAATCCCAGCACTTTGGGAAGCCGAGACAGGCAGATCAGTTGAGGCCAGGAGTTCGAGACCAGCCTGGCCAACATGGCAAAACCCTGTCTCTAATAAAATTATAAAAATTAGCCAGTGTGGCGGCTCACACCTGTGGTCCCAGCTACTCAGGAGGCTGAGGCACGAGACTTGCTGGAACCCGGGAGGCGAAGGTTATACTGAGCTGAGATTGCGCCACTGCACTCCAGCCTGGGCGACAGAGAGAGACGCTGTGTCAAAAAACAACAACAACAACAACAAAAAATGCAGCATCAGCTCCTTCCAAGAGCTTTCAGCCTGCTGGCCTGTTCTGCAGATTTCAGACTTTCCAGCCCCTGCAGTCCTACAAGGCAATTCCTTAAAATAAATCTATGTACATATATTCTACTGGTTCTGTTTCTCTGGCGAACCTTGTCTGTTACAGGCATCCTAGAGGCACTCCCATCAAGATTAGGAAAAAGAGAGAACTGCCCGCTATTACCTCTGTTAGGCAAAGAAAAATCAAACATCAAGAAGTAAACCCACCAAGCAGTGGGCGATAGAGGAAGTGATGGAGCCAGGTTCTGTGTCCATGTTTAAATCTAAAACTTCTAAAAAAAAAAAAAAAAGACAATGTCTTAACCCTTTCTTGATAATGTGTCTCTAGTACACCTTGAAGATAAGGGATTTCAAAGTAATGCGAAAAGCTTAAAGGAAAACAAGAAAAAACAACTTGTATCCAGCATTGGAAGAAGTGTAAATTGCTATAGCTTCTTTTTCTTTTTTGACAGGGTTTCACTTCATCACCCAGGATGGAGTGCAGTGGTGTAATCGTGGATCACTGCAGCCTCTACTTCCCAGGCTCAAGCAATCCTCCCACTTCGGCTTCCTGAATAGCTGGAACTACAGGCATGTACCACCATGCCTGGCTAATTTTTGTATGTTTTGTAGAGACAAGGTTTTGTCGTGTTGCCTAGGCTGGTCTTGAACTCCTAGGGGTCATCTGCCCACTGTGGCCTCCCAAAATGCTGGGATTACAGGCGTGAGCCACCGCACCCAGCCTGCCTCGAGAAAGAACCGTCTTGGGATTCTGGATAAAGCTAAAGCTACTCAATCCTAAAATTCAACAATTTCATTTCTAGATGGCTGTGTTAGAGAAACTTTTGTGCATATGTAGTGAGATGATCATTACTGTAATATACATAATGGTAAAAAAATAAAGAAACAATCTAATTGCTCATGAGTTAGGGGAATGGATGAATAAACCAAAGAATATTACATATTGCTGAAAAATGAATAAACTGAGAACTAGAGCTACACATATTAATAAAGATCTGTGGTTATCAAACTTCAGTGTGCATTCAAATTATCTGGAGGATTTAGAAAGGCACAGACTGCTGGCCCCACCTCACAGTTTCTGAATCAGTAGGTCTGGGGTGGGGTCTGAGGCTTTACATTTCTAACAAGTTGCCAGGTGCTCATGCTACTGGTCCAGGGACTGCACTTTGAGAAGCAAGAATACACACAAACCTCAAAAACACAACACTGTGTAACAGCACAAGTTGCAAAAGGATGTATGTAGAATATAAGCTATGTTAATTTGATATGCACCAAAACCAACACCATATTTTGTTTATGGACATAAATGTGTAGTAAAAGTAAGGAACCAGTGGTAACGTCTAGGGAAGGAGAAGGAATACACATTTCAAAGGATGTGGCAGAGATACTGCCATGGTTCCCCAAGTCCCACTTAATCTTCCCCCAGGCTCTCAGTAAGACAAAAGTTTCCCAGATTATCCGCTGTTAGGTGAGGCCTTCTGACTGGGTCCTAGCCAAGGAAAGAATGTGGGTGGAAGTGTTCTGCACCACTGCCTTGGGCCAAAAACCTTTCATGTAATTCTCCAGTTTCCCTTCCCTCATTGGCCCCCTGATGTTGAGGTTCCAGTGGAGACTGAGGTCTCATCCCCCTGCTACTCAAGGCTCTCCAGATGACTTTTATATACACCTCAAGTTGAGAAATTGTCCTATGAGAACATCCTGGGGGATGGTGATTTCATTCCATGGAAGAAGCCACGATCCCTAAATGACTGCCTGGAGCAGAGCACCTTGGCCAACCTCCACTGGACTCTGATGAGCTGAAAAGAATGTTGGGTGACAACTTTGAGACTTTGGTGTTGTTGACAGCAGCACCTGGGATACCCTGATTAATACAGACAGGAAACAATACAGTGGATGTAAGTGGGGTCAGCGGAGTGGCTTTTATTTCTCTAAAAGGAAAGAGGAAGATCTGAAGCAAGCATGGAAAAGGTTCAATCTCAATGGTAGGTGTGGAGATCCCCATTATATATTATTTTCTGTATAGTTGAAATATTTTATAATTTTAAAATATTCAAAAATAACCTAAAAATGAAAAATCTCAGATGTATACAGGCAACTAATGACAACTGGAACAAGAGGAGGGAGAGTATAAAACATCACCCCCGTGGCAGGTGGTGTCGGTTGCACCCAGAGGACTTTATAACCTCCACTGCTGGCATAACAAGACCAGGTGTTTCCTCTGCTGTTGTGAATGTCGCTCATGAGATGGACCAACTTCCTTCTCTGACAAATACAAGTGGCATAAACACCTGTGTATTTGTTTTTGATTTTTTTTTTTAAGACAGGGTCTTGCTCTGTTGCCCAGGCTGGGGTGCAGTGGCGTGATCTCGGCTCACTGCATCCTCTGCCTCCCAGGCTCAAGAGATTCTCCCACCTCAGCCTCCTGAGTAGCTGGGTCTATATGCATATGCTACCGTGCTAGGCTAATTTTTTTTTTTTTGGTAGAGACAGAGTTTCACCATGCCACCCAGGCTGGGTTCGAACTCCTGGATTCAAGTGATCCTCCTGGCTCGGCCTCCCAAAGTGCTAGGATTACAGGCATGAGCCACTGCGCCAGGCCCACCTGTTCATTAGTTTCTTGTAGCTCCTGTAGGAAATTGCCACATGCTGAGTGGCTTGAAACAAAAGAAACTTATTCTCTCCCAGATCTGGAGGCCAGAAGTCCAAAATTAGTTTCCTTGGGCCCAAATCAAAGTGTTGGCTGGGCCACATTCCCTCTGGAGACTCTAGAGAAGAAAGTCATTCTTTGCCTCTCCCAGTTCCTGGTGGCTGGTGGCATTGTTTGTCTTGTGGCTACATCATTCCCAATGTCTGCCCCCATCTTTACACTAACTTCAGTTTTAGCGGACTTTTTTTTAAAGGACCAGACAGTAAATATTTTAAGATTTGTGGGCCACAGAGTCTCTGTCATCATTCCTCAACTCTGCCACAGTACAGTGAAAGTCACAGACAATGCATACATAAATGGGCATGGCTGGTTTCCAACAGAACTTTATTTACAAAAACAAGCAGTGGGCCCACCTGTAGTTTGCCGACTCCTGAACTAGAGTCTGCAAGATGCTGTGCTCCTCAATAAAAGGGTCCCATGCTTAATAAGTTGGAAATGTGTCAGAGAAAACAAAGTGAAATGAATTTCTTTATTGCGGGACTTCTCAGAGCCTTTACTATGTGAGTGTGTGAGTAGGGGATAATATACAGAGCATTTCCCAAAGTTATTTAACCATAGAACACCTTTTTATAAAATGCCTATTAGGCTGGGTGCAGTGGCTCACACCTTTAAGTCACCACTTTGGGAGGCCAAGGCAGGTGGATCACTTGAGGTCAGGAGTTCAAAACCAGCCTGGCCAACATGGCGAAACTCCATCTCTGCTACAAATACAAAAATTAGCTGGGCATGGTGGCAGGTGCCTGTAATCCCAGCTGCTCAGGAGGCTGAGGCAGGAGAATCGCTTGAACCTGGGAGGCGGAGGTGGCAATGAGCCAAGATCGCACCACTGCACTCCAGCCTGGGCAACAGAGTGAGACTCTGTCTCAAAAAAACAAACAAACAAACAAACAAACAAACAAAAAAAACCCCACAGAAAACAAACAAACCAATAAAATGCCTATTAACATCTCCCTAAGGGCCCAGAAACATAGTTTGAAAAACGGTATTCTGTTCGATCCTGACTTTGGTTAGATTCTAACTTTCTTACTCACTTTAAATTATAAACAGATGGCTGCTAATGCTCTTATCTTCCTCAGAATGACAATAATTAACTAACCAGCCAGCACTTGACTTGTGTTATTTAATTTAATTCTCACAACAGTGTTATGAGTTAAGTCCTGCTATTCCCATTTTAAAGACAGAGAAACTGGGGCTCAATGAGGTTAATCAAGGTCTCAGAGGCAGAAGGAGCTAGAACTTCAATCTAGGTTTAATTTTAGGGTATAGTATGTGCTCTTTCGACGATTCCACAGGGCTGCAGAGAAAGACAATTACTTGCTTTTCTTGCTACATGCTCTAGAATCTTCCTGGCAACAGAAAGGGAGGTACATTTTGTAAAAGCATAAAGCCAACTAAATATCAGGTAATATTAACATTGCTAATGATTAGTATCTCACTGGCTTTCTCTTCTGTTCCAGTAAAACCTGACGGTGAGAAAAGGGACATCTTCAATAACAGCTGCAGGCAGACAGGGCACCCCCTGGGCTCAGCACCCCCTGGCTTTGCTGCTCACTGCTGGGTGGCATTCCCTTGCTGGCCCTCAGTTTCCTCATCTGTGGAATGGGAACAATAACAGCACCTCCCTTCTCAGAGTGTTGCTGAGAAGACCAAATGAAATCATGCAAATAAAGCACTTCACACAGTGGATAAATACACAAACAAGAAGAGAATCCTAGACGTATCAGCTGTTATTCTTATTGTCACCCAGTCAAGCTGAGTTGAGTCCTACTTTGTCACCTTCCAGCAGTGACCCTTCACAAACTGGTTAGCCTCCCTGAGCCTCTGTTTTATCTGTTAAATGGTTTTTATTTTATTTTATTTTATTTTATTTTATTTTATTTTATTTTATTTTAAGATGGAGTCTTGCTCTGTCACCTGGGCTGGAGTGCAACGGCACAATCTCAGCTCACTGCAACCTCCACCTCCCAGGCTCAAGCAATTCTCTTGCCTCAGCCCCCTGAGTAGCTGGGATTACAGGCACGCACCACAGTGCCAGCTAATTTTTTGCATTTTTAAACCATTTTTTTTTTTTGAGACAGAGTCTTGCTCTGTCACCCAAGCTGGAGGGCAGTGGCATTATCTCGGCTCACTGCAACCTCCCGCCTCTTGGGTTCAAGCAATTCTCCTGCCTCAGCCACCCGAGTAGCTGGGATTACAGGCAACCACCACCATGCCCGGCTGATTTTTTATATTTATAGTAGAGAAAAGTTTCACCATGTTGGCCAGGCTGGACTTGAACCCGTGACCTCAGGTGATCTGCCCGCTTCAGCCTTCCAAAGTGCTGGGATTACAGGTGTAAGCCACTGTGCCCGGCCAATTTTTTGTATTTTTAGTAGAGACAGAGCTTCACCATGTTGGTCAGGCTGGTCTCGAACTCCTGACCTCAAATGATCTGCCCGCCCTGGCCTCCCAATGTGCAGGGATTACAGGCATGAGCCACCATGCCCGGCTGAGACTAGGTGATTTGTAAAGAAAAGAGGTTTATCTTGGCTCATGGTTCTGCAGACTGTAGGGGGAGCATGGCACCTGCATATGCTCGGCCTCTGGTGAAGCTTCAGGAAGCTTTTACTCATGGCAGAAGGTGAAGGGGGAGCAGGTGTGTCACATGTTGAGAGAGCAAGCAAAAGAGATGCCAGGCTCTTTTAAACAGTCAGATCGTGCATGAACTAATATAGCAATAACTCACTCATCACCTTGGGGAGGGTACCACGCCATTCACATGAGATTCACCCCTGTGACCCAAACAACTCCTACTAAGCGCCACCTCCAACAATGGGGAATCACTTTTTACCATGAGATTTGGAGGGGACAAACATCCAAACTGTATCACCACACTACCCCTAATTATCCAGGCCATCATTTTCATCACTGGACTGTAAGTTCCAAGGGACAGGTACATATTTTTAGTAGACACGAGGTGACCTCAGGTGATCTGCCCACATCAGCCTCCCATGGTGAAACCCCGTCTCTACCAAAAAAAGGGATTACAGGCATGAGCCATCGTGCCCAGCTGAGGAATCCCTTTAAAAAATCCTTGATAAATCCAAACAACTTCCATAATACACACAACCGCTGTTAAAAAAAAACACAGCTAACTTATAAATACTGCATACTAAGAGATGTGCAATTGCATTTTCACAACAACCCTCTGAGATAGTGCGGTGGGCACCCAGCAAAATTTCCCATCTTAATGCCCAGTACTACGAAGGTAATGAAATATCACATCTAGATCATATTACAGGCTACACGATAAAAGGGATTTTGGAGATATAATTGAGGTTACTAATCAGTTACCCTTTAGTTGGTTAGCAGGCTGTCCCAGTGAGTCTAATTTAATCACCTAAGCCCTTTAAAAGCAGAGTTTTCTTGGGCTTGGGGAAAAGGAAGTCAGAGAAATGTCAGACACAAGAATAGCACTCTGCTTTTGGCTTGAAGATGGTGGCAACTGTGTACAAGGACTGGAGCGTGGCTTCTAGGAGCTGAGAGTGACCTGGATGGCAGCCAGCAAGGATGGAGGACCTCAAGTCCTACGATCACACAGAACTGATTCTGCCAACAACCTTAATGAGCCTGGAAGTAGACTTGTCTCCAGAACCTCCAGATAAGAGCCCAGCCTGGCCAACACCTTGTTTTTGGCCTTGTGAGACCCTTTGTAGAAAACTCAATCAAGCTGACCTGGACTGCTGACCTACAGAACTGTGAACTCATAAATGAGTGTTTTCTAAGCCACTAAGTCAGTGGTCATTTGTTAGGCAGTAAATGAAAACTAACACATGTAGGTACTGTTATGATTGGACCAGGCACAGTGGCTCATGTCTGTAATCAGCACTTGGAGGCGGAGGCAGGTAGATCGCTTGAGCTTAGGAGTTCGAGCCCAGCCTGGGCAACATGGTGAAACCCCGTCTCTACCAAAAAAAGAAATATATGAAAAATTAGCTGGGCATGGTGGCACACATCTGTGGTCCCAGATTCAGGAGGCTGAGGCGGGAGAATCACTTCAGCCTGGGAGGCTGAGGTTGCAGTGAGCTGAGATCACGCCACTGCACTCCAACCTGGGTGACAGAGACTCTGTCTCAAAAATATAAAAAATAAAAATAAAAAAAACCTAATGCAGATAGGTACTATTATGATCCCATTTTACAGATGAGAAAATGAATGCGAGAGATGCAAACTACCTTGCTAAGGTCCCAAAGCTGGTAAATGGCAGAGGGTTTCTCAAACAGGATTTGAACACAGGCAATCTGGCTCCAGGGTCCATGCATTTAACCACTGTGCAGTGTTTTCTCTATGTATTTATCCGAACAATCTCTAAGATAGATGGATAATAAAAGCAACGTGGGAGCTGTATATAGAATGTTACTATTCTATTTGAATATATAAAGGTGAGTAAAAAGAACACGCACATATATTTGCTGCTGCTGCTGCTTCTTTTTTTTTTTTGAGACAGAGTCTCGTTCTGTTTCCCAGGCCTCTCTCTCCTTGGCTTGTAGGTGGCTATTTTCTCTGTGTCCTCACGTGATCTTTCCTCTGTGCCTGTCAGTGTTCCAAATCTCCTTTACAAGGACACCAGTCCTATTGGACCAGGGCCCGTCCTAGTGAGGTAGCAGGCGGGACTTGACTCCAGAGATGGGGCTCAGATATGGGGCCAAGTTGAGAGCTAGCTAGAACAGGGACAGGGTGGAGGCAGCTTTCCATAAGCCATGCCCAACAGTATGCCATGTTAGTTTACCATTGCCATGGCAAAACCCAGGAGTTACCACCGCTTTCCATGACCATCACCCAGTGACCCAAAAGTGACTACCCCTTCCCTGGAAATTTCTGCATAAACTGCCCCTTAATCTACATGTAATTAAAAGTAGGTATAAATATGGCTGCAAAATTGCCCTGAGGTGCTACTCTCTGCCTATGGGGCAGCCCTGCTCTGCAGGAGTAGTCACGGTGCTGTAACACTGCCTGAGCTGTAACGCCTCTTCAATAAAGCTACCTTCTTCTACCCTACCACTGGCTCACCCTTGAATTCTCTTGGGCAAAGCCAAGAACCCTCACAGTCTAAGCCCCTCTTTGGGGCTTGCCTGCCTTGCATCACTAGTGACCTCACTCTAACTTAATAACTTTTTTTTTTTTTTTGAGATAGACAGGCTGGAGTGCAGTGGCATCATCTCAGCTGCAACCTCCACCTCCCGGGTTCAAGTGAGTCTCCTGCCTCAGTCTCCCAAGTACTGGGATTACAGGCACACGCCACCAAACCTGGCTAATTTTTGTATTTTTAGTAGAGACAGGGTTTCACCATGTTGGCTAGGCTGGTCTTGAACTTCTGACCTCAAGTGATCCACCTGCCTCAGCCTCCCAAAGTGCTGGGATTACAGGAATGACCCACAGAGCCTGGCCATCTTTATAGACCCTATTTCCAAATATAGCCAAATTCTGAGGTCCTGGGGTTTGGACTCCAACACACATATTTTGGGGGGCACAGTTCAGTCCATAACATTCGGGGAGCACAGTTCAATCCATAACATTTGGGGAGCTGACCCAGTTCCATAAGGCACACATTTAACCCAGAGTTCCTCAACTTCAGCACTGCTGACATTTAGGGCTGGATAACTCTGGGTTGCAGTAGAGGGCTGTCCTGTGCACTGTAGAATATTCAGCAGCACCCCTGGTCTCTGTCCACTAAATACCAGTAGCACACCCCCTCCAATGGTGCCAACTAAAAATGATCCAGAAATTACCACAGCCCCCTAGTTGGGAATCACTACTTAACCTTCTTCCAGCCCCTGTGTGTGGGTAGTTGGAACCAGTGTGGCTGGCTCTTCTCGAAGTTCTTATTCCAGGATGGGGCACTGTGTCTTTACACACAGAATGTTATGCAGCCAAAACCATAGCTGAGGCTTAGAATACTCAGACCTGCCCCAGCATAGACAGATGTCTGATTGGGAGAAGGGAAGGCGGGGAGAGGGGAAGGTATGACCTCCAGGAGCGAAGATGCCTCCAACAATGGGAAACCACTTTGAGAGCAAAAGTGCTGGGTTCAGGGCCTGGAAAATGTAGAGATTTTAATGGCACTGAAAGCCCCATGAATCCTCTTGGTTCTCATGTCAGAGAAGACCACCTTTCTTATTTTTGTCCACCTTCCCTCCCCGTCCCTGTGCTTAGAGAAAAACCAATAGGATTGAGAGCCTATGGAATCTCACCCTACTGGAACCTCTTGTCCAGGGATTTGGCTGAGCCTACTGAGCTAGAACTTAGTTAAGATGATTCAGGATATGGAAGGGCTTCCTCCTCCCTGTCCTCATGGAAAAGATGGCAAGTTGGTCAAATGCTGTGTTATTCAGAGAAATCAGTTCAGCTAAGCCTTTCCTTGTTTCTGATACAACCAGTCCTAGTAACCACCCAGCAATGAGATACCTGACCTTGCACCTTATGATAACCTTAAAGAGACAGAAATGACCACTGGAGAGGCTGGGCATGGTGGCTCACACCTGTAATCCCAGCACTTTGGGAAGCTGAGGCAGGTGGATCACTTGAGGTCGGGAGTTCAAGACTACCCTGGCCAAAATGGTGAAAACCCTTCTCTACTAAAAATACAAAAGTTAGCTGGGTGTGGTGGTGGGCGCCTGTAATATCAGCTACTTGGGAGGCTGAGGCAGGAGAATCACTTGAACCCGGGAGGCAGAGGTTTCAGTGAGCCGAGATTGCACCACTGCACTCCAGCCTGGGTGACAGAGTGAGACTCTGTCTCAAAAAGAAAAAGAAAAAGAAATGACCACTGGAGAGATGAAGAAGCTGGGAGCCTCAAAAGAGCAGCCAAGGTTACCTGGGGAATAAGTCAGGAAGCCAGGATTTGACCCCAGTTTCGTTGACTCCAGCTGTGTTCTTTCTACTCTGCAGTGCTGTCTCCCTGAACAGGGGACTTGTAGAGAGTTCTTAGGGAAGGGCCCGCTTTTATGTTTCTCCATCTGCTACCTGTACTTTTGGGAAGCTGAATTAAACTTTGTCCTAAGAACATTCTAGAACAGCGTTTTCTGCATGGATGGAAATATTCTACCTCTACATTGTCTACCCTAGTAGCCGTGAGCCATTTCTGCGTTTGAGCCCTTGAAACGTGGTTGGTGCAACTGAGGAACTCAATTTTAAACATAATTAATTTAAATTTAGAGAGCCACATGTGGCCTGTAGCTACTATATTAGACAGCGCAGTTCCCGGATCTTGGGCTAAGGGGAATTCATTTTCTTTCTTCTTTCTTTTTTTTTTTTTCTGGAGATGGAGTCTCACTCTGCCGCCCAGGCTGGAGTGCAGTGGTGTGACCTCGGCTCACTGCAACCTCTGCCTCCTGGGTTCAAGCGATTCTTCTGACTCAGCCTCTGGAGTAGCTGGGATTACAGGCACATGCCACCACACCCGGCTAATTTTTGTATTTTTATGGTAGAGATAGGGTTTTGCCATGTTGGCCAGGCTGGTGTCGAACTCCTGACCCCAGGTGATCCACCTGTCTTGGCCTCCCAAAGTGCTGGGATTACAGGCATGAGCCACCGGGCCCGGCCTTCATTTTCATAAAGAGGCAATGTGGACACATCAAATGTTTAATAATTAGTATTAGTATTATAGAAGTAGGAGTATATGATATATTTCTATGTATGTTTCTGGGACAGAGGATTTGCCTTCTTACCAAGGTTTGGGCTAAGTTAATATAAAACCAAGTTTCATTCACAGAGAATCAAGTAAGTGGACAAAGGTTACGATGATGTCTTACTCACTTTTATATTCTCAGGATCTAGCATTGCCCCTGTAAGCAAACAGGTCCTGAATAACATCAGTGAAATTGGTGAGACAGGGGCAGTGGCCGAGCCGAACTCCATGCGGTGGGAAATAAGCAGGCCTGGTTTTGTTTTTTTAGCTACTATATTAGACAGCATAGCTCTGGGATCTTGGGCTAAGAGTAATTCATTTCTTTCTTTCTTTCCTCCCTTCCCTTCCCTCCCTCCCTCCCTCCCTTCCTTCCTCCCTTCCTTCCTTCCTTCTCCCCTCCCCTCCCCTTCTCTTCCCTTTCTTTCCTTTCTTTTGTTTTTTGAGACAAAGTCTCACTCTGTCACCCAGGCTGGAGTGCAGTGGCACAATCTCGGCTCACTGCAGCCTCCCCCTCCCGGGTTCAAGCAATCCTCCCACCTCAGCCTCCCGCGTAGCTGGGATTGCAGGTGTGCACCACCACACCTGACTAATTTTTGTGTTTTTAGTAGAGACAGGATTTTGCCACATTGGCTAGGCTAGTCTCGAACTCCTGACCTCAAGGGATCCGCCTGCCTTGGCCTCCCAAAGTGCTGGGATTACAAACGTGAACCACTATGCCCAGCCCTGGCCTGGTTTTAAACCTTCTAATAGATCATTAATATCAGGCTTTTTTTTGAGACAGGATCTCATTCTGTTGCTCAGGCTGAAGTACAGTGGCCCAGTCATTGCTCACTGCAGCCTCAACCTGCTTGGCTCAAGCAATCTTCCCACCTCAGCCTCCTAAATAGCTGGGACTGCAGGTGCATGACACTATGCTTGGATACGTTTTTAGTTTTTTATAGAGACAGGGTCTCACTTTGTTGCCAGGCTGGTCTCGAACTCCTAGGCTCAAGTGATCCTCCCACCTCACACTCTCAAAGTGCTGGGATTACAGGCGTGAGCCACAGCACCCAGAGAAACTCTGAATTCAGCCCACAGTGGTACATTCCCTGTGAGTCAAGAGCAACCTAGGGGTCTTTGCTCACATGAGTTCACATTCTAGTGGGGAAGGACAGAAAATAAATAAAGACAAACAATCTGATTATTTCAGATACTGGTATATGCTAGGAAAGATATAAAATGATGGTGGAATACTGCAGGTTGGAGAAAAGCACTCTCAGCAGGGTGGTTAGGAAGGACTTTCCAGAGGTGGTGACATTGGAGTCGAGATCCAAGTGATGGGAAGGAGACAGCCATGGAAACATCCAGGAAAAAACTGCTCCCAGCAGAGGGAACAGCAAGAACAAAAGCCTGAGAAGGAAGGCGCTGGGTGCTTTGGAGGCACCAAGAAGTCACCAGCATGGCTGGTCCTGAGTGAGCAAGAGACAGAGTCATGGGTGATGATGTCGGAGAGGTGGAGTAGGAGCCAGGCCAGGCAAATGCAACACATATGAGCTATATAGAAGTTTTCTGGACCAGGCACAGTGGCTCACGCCTGTAATCCCAGCACTCTGGGAGGCTGAGGTGGGAGGAGCACTTGAGCCCAGGAGTTCGAGACCAGCCTGGGGCAAGACAGTGAGACCCTGTCTCTACAAAAATTTTAAAAATTAGCTGGGCATGGTGGCATGTGGGACACTGAGGTGGGAGGGTCACTGGAGTCCAGGAGGTCAAGGTTGTGGTAAGCTGAGATCACGCCACTGCACTCCAGCCTGGACAATGAAACCCTGCCTCAAAAAAAAAAAAAAAAAAAGCTATCTGGATATGTAATGACAAGTGGCAGCTCAAGACACCTGGCCAGTGTGATGGTTTTGGGGCTGAGGTTGAAGATCAGTCAATGCCACCTTTAACCCGTCTTGGCTGGCCAGGAAGCCCAGTTCTCCTAGAAGGCCCAGGTATGAGGATTCCTGACAGACCCTCCAGCGTTGCAAGGCACGTGGGAATTGGCATTGGCAGCGGGATGATTAAGAAAGGCAGAAAATGGAGAGATTCCCAAAGTCCCTAGACAAGGTGGCTCACCCAACCTCACACGTCAGGGCCATCAACCGACCCAAATAGCAAAAGCACTTTCAATATAATAATTATAATATTAAAACCAACCCACCTTCTCAGTGGATGGTGCGGAGGCCCAGCAAAGAGCATCTGTGCCGTGAGCCATTAGGGGTCTCTGACAAATGTGTCTTCCCCCCGCTGCAGATGAAAACCCATCCTTTTCTTCTCCACAGACAAGGATTGATGAGGATTCGGGAGAGCACTCAGACAGGCAAGGGAAGGCTGTGAACCTTTTCCAAGCCTGCAATTTATCTTGGGGAAGACTATTCACATCACTTTCTACAGGCTAGATTACGCGCTGACCTGGCACATTAATCTCACCGAATAAAATAATCATCATCAAAAAAAGGGAGCTGGACAGTTGCCAGGGAGGCATTAATAACTGTTGCCCACAGCTCGGAGGCGCAAGAAAGGGGTGCTGGGTCCATCCCCGCCTCCTCGGCCCTAGCAGTGTCCGTTTCAAGGAGAAGGAAGTGAGGTAGCTCTGGCCTGGACTTGGGGGAATTTTATGTGAATGGTTTAGGAGGACTTTTCTCCAAAATTAATTCTCAGAAATTTTCTAGGCTGGGCGCAGTGGCTCATACCTGTAATCCCAGCACTTTGGGAGGCCGAGGTGGGCAGATCACCTGAGGTCAGGAGTTCAAGACCAGCCTGGCCAACATGGTGAAACCCCGTCTCTACTAAAAATACAAAAATTAGCTGGGCGTGGTGGTGCACAGCTGTAATCCCAGCTACTCAGGAGGCTGAGTCAGGAGAATTGCTTGAACCTGGGAGGTGGAGGTTGCTGTGAGCCAAAATTGTGCCACTGAACTCCAGCTTGAGCAACAGAGACTCTGTCTCAAAAAACAAAAAAGAAAATTTTCCAAAGGAATTCAGGGAACATACACGGGAAGGACCGCGGTCTAATAATTCAGGGTAGCAGTTCTGGAGCAGGAGGACTGCCTGAGTTCAAATCTCCACATAGCCACTTGTGAGCTATGTGGCTTTGGGCTACTTTCTTAGCCTCTGGCTGTTTTCATTTTCTTCCGCTGGGCATGTGAAATGGTGCAGGCACTGTGGGAAGGTTTGACAGTTCCTCAAAAGGTTCAACATAGGATTACAGCATGATCCAGAATTCTCTGCCTATGTATTTACCACAAAAATTATGTTCAAACAGATACTTGTCTGCGAAAGCTCACAGCAGCACTATTCACAATAGCCAAAAAGCAAAAACAGCCTAGATGTCCATTGACAGAGGAATGGCTAAACAAATTGTAGTCTATCCACACAATGGAATATTATTTAGCCATAAGAAGGAATGAAAGCCGGGCATGGTGGCTCATGCCTGTAATTCCAGCACTTTGGGAGGCCGAGGTGGGCAGATCACCTGAGGTCAGGAGTCTCAGACCAGGCTGGCCTACATGGCGAAACCCCATCTCTCTAAAATACAAACATTAGCCAGGCCTGGTGGCGCACTCCTGTAATCCCAGCTACTCTTGGGGGCTGAGGCAGGAGAATTGCTTGAACCCGGGAGGCAGAGGTTGCAGTGAGCCAAGATCATGATGCTCCACTAAAGCCTGGGCAACACGGTGAGACTCCGTCTCAAAAAAGAAAAAGAAGAAATGAAGTGCTGATACATGCTACAACATGGATGAACCTCGAAAACATAGCACGGCATGAGAGAAGCCAGACACAAAAGGCCACATAGGGTATTATTCCACTTACACAAAATGTCCAGCATAGGCAAATCCATAGAGATGAAAAGCAGATTGGCAGTTGCCAGGAGCTTGTGGGAAGCGGGAATGGAATGTGACTGCTTAGTGGGGACAAGGTTTCCTTCTGGTGTGATGAGAATGTCTTGGAACTAGACAGAGGTGGTGGTTGTACAACACTGTGAATGTACTAAACGCCACTGAATGGCATACTCTAAAATGATTAATGGTTTATTTTTATTGTTTTATTTTATTTTTTTCAGACAGGGTCTCCCTCTGTTGCCTAGGCTGGAGTGCAGTGCTGCGATCAGGGTTCACTGCAGCAGCCTTAACCTTATTAGGCTTAAGTGATCCTCCCACTTCAGCCTCCCAAGTAGCTGGGACTACAGGTGAGTGCCACCATGCTCGGCTAAATCTTTGTATTTTGGTGGAGACAGGGTTTCACCATGTTGCCCAAGCTGGTATTGAACTCCTGGGCTCAAGAGATCCTCCCAACTTGGCCTCCCAAAGTGCTGGGATAACAGGCATGAGCCATTGAGCCCAGCCTAATGGTTAATTTTATGTTACGTGAATTGTATCTCAATAAGAAAACAAAAAATCAAGACAACAGCATTTCCCTCATGAGGCTGACATCAGATGGAAATGAATTAGAGCCCTGCCTGCCCATGTGAAAGGCTGGCCCCACACTGGCTGCTCCCGCTGCTATAAGTTTGTTACTGCAAGGTTTGCGCTCTTTTGCAAGTTATTTAACTCAGTTTCCTCTCTGTGAAAAGAGATATCAACAGCATCTACCCTCCTGGGACTGTTAAGATTAAATGAGACAATGTCTTTAAGAGGATATAAACTCACGAATACAGGGGTTTCTATTTACTGGTTCACTGATGTATCCTCAGAGTTTAGAACAGAGTGGGGCATGTAGCTGGCATTCAGTAAATATTTCTTGAACAAATGGCATTGCTTAACACATTGCCTCATAATAAATGCTCAGCAATATTTAGCCATGTTTATTATTATAAGTGTGGCTGCCAGATTTCTTTCAAAGGCCCTATATGGTCTTTTCTAGCACAGAGAAGTGAGTGCTACTTTGCTTATAGGTTTTTGTGTCTTCATGAAAGAAGTGTTTTGACACCTACCAAATATAAGAGGTTTGAGCTGAGCTGAAAATGAAATCCAAGCTCTTGCTGTTGCTGTAAGAGGAGGTAGTGAGTTATTACAACTGATTAGACTATCCATCCATCCATCCATCCATCCATCCATCCACCCACCCATCCACCATCCATCCATCCACTCTCCTCCCATCCATCCATCTACCATCCATCCACCCACCACTCTCCTACCATTTACCCATCCACCCATCTATCCATCTACTCACTCTCCTCCCATTTACCCATCCACCCATCCACTCTCCTTCCATTTACCCATCCACTCTCCTTCCATTTACCCATCCATCCATCCACTCTCCTCCCATTTACCCATCCACCCATCCATCCATCCATCTACTCTTCTCCCATTTATCCATCCACCCATCCATCCCTCTACTCTCCTCCCATTTATCCATCCATCCATCCATCCATCCATCCATCCACTCTCCTCCCATCCATCCATCTACCATCCATCCACCCACCACTCTCCTACCATTTACCCATCCACTCATCTATCCATCTACTCACTCTCCTCCCATTTACCCATCCACCCATCCACTCTCCTCCCATTTACCCATCCACCCATCCACTCTCCTCCCATTTACCCATCCACCCATCCATCCATCCATCCATCCATCTACCATCCATCCACCCACCACTCTCCTACCATTTACTCATCCACTCATCTATCCATCTACTCACTCTCCTCCCATTTACCCATCCACCCATCCACTCTCTTTCCATTTACCCATCCATCCATCCACTCTCCTCCCATTTACCCATCCACCCACCCATCCATCCATCCATCTACTCTTCTCCCATTTACCCATCCACCCATCCATCTACTCTCCTCCCATTTACCCATCTACCATCCATCCACCCACCACTCTCCTACCATTTACCCATCCACCCATCTATCCATCTACTCACTCTCCTCTCATTTACCCATCCACCCATCCACTCTCCTTCCATCTACCCATCCATCCATCCACTCTCCTCCCATTTACCCATCCACCCATCCATCCATCCATCTACTCTCCTCCCATTTACCCATCCACCCATCCATCCATCTACTCTCCTCTCATTTATCTACCCATCCATCCATCCATCCATCCATCCATCCCTCTCCTCCCATTTATCTATCCATCCATCCATCCACCATCCATCCATCACTCTCCTCCCATTTACCCATCCACCTACCCATTCATCCATCCACTCTCCTCCCATTTATCCATCCATCCATCCATCCATCTATCCATCCATCCACCAAACTTCCCAGATGATCATCTAATTCATCTATCTACCTACCTATATATCCATTCACCCATCCATCTACCCACTCAAACACACATGTATACATACTTACATACATACAATGAACACTTCTGGATACACAGCAGATACTGATGATCCATCAACAAACAAACTGGATGCATTCATTTCCTGCTGTCACAGAGGTTACAATCAAGCAGAGAAGGCAGACATTTAAACAAACAATTACAGTCAGAGTGGTGGGTGCCAGAATAGGGGAAGTATAGGGTGCTGTAGGAGTCCTCGTGGGAGCACCACACCTAGCCTGAAGAGGCAGGGTAGGTTTCTAAGAGGCAGTGATCTGCAGAAAGAACAGGAGTTATCAAGACATGAGAAAGAGGGAAGGCTCTTTGAGGCAGATGAATCAGTAGGTGCAGGTGGGAGACAGGGCAGCAAGCAGCCCACTCTAGAAGATTGTAGGTTAGTTTCTCAATGTCTCAGTGCCTCAATTTTCTCATCTGGAAAATGGGATAAGAACAGCATCTACCACATAGGGATGCTGCAGAATGGGGCGAGTTAATGAGTATAAAGGAGCAAAAGAGGCTGGGCGCAGTGGCTCACGCCTGTAATCCCAGCACTTTGGGAGGCCAAAGCAGGCGGATCACCTGAGGTTGGGAGTTTGAGGCCAGCCTGACCAACATGGAGAAACACCATCTCTACTAAAAATATAAAATTAGCTGGGTGTGGTGGCGCATGCCTGTAATCCCAGCTTCTCGGGAGGCTGAGGCAGGAGAATTGCTTGAACCCGGGAGGCAGAGGTTGTGGTGAGCCGAGATTGCGCCATTGCACTCCAGCCTGGGCAACAAGAGCGACACTCCATCTCAAAACAAACAAACAAAAAAGAAGCAAAAGAGGTAGGGTCTGTCTGTCTGGAGCACAAAAAACAGAGTAAGAGTAAGGGAGTGAAAGAGGGAGAGGGATGAGTAAGTAAGATGCCAGACAGGGAGGTGGGACCCATGATGATGGTCCACAAAGCCTCACCTGCCTCCTCTCTAGGTGATAACTCTTCATACACACATTATACACATTATATCTTTTTTTTTTTTTTTCTTTTAGAGACAACATGTCCCTCTATTGCCCAGGCTGAGTGTAGTGACATGATCATGGCTCACTGCAACCTCAACTCCTGGGCTCAATGATCCTCCCACTTCAGCCTCTCAATTGGCTGGGACTACAGGTGCGTTCCACCATGCCCAGCTAATTGATTTTTATTTTTATTTTTATTATAAAGATGGCATCTTGCTGTGTTGCCCAGGCTAGTCTCAAACTCTTGGCCTCAAGCAACCTTCTCACTTTGGCCTCCCAAAACAGGGATTACAGGTGTGAGCCACTGTGCCCTGTCAAGTCTTTTTACCTTTACAGTATCTAAAGAACGCTACTGTTAACATCTCGATTTTCTGCAGGAGGAAAATGCTCACATTAAGCGACTTGCTCAAGGCACCATGGCTGGAAAATTGCAGGTTAGGAATGGCCTAGGCCCTCTAGCACCTGGCCGATCTGGCAGATGATCTCCTGGTCCTCAGAAGTAGCCACGGGCTTGGGAGTTGGAAGAGTTGGATTTTCATTTTGATTCTATAACTGAGCAACTGGGTGTTTTTTGGACAAACTATCTCACCTCTCTTTCAGCCTCAGTGTAGTAAAGGAAATAACGGCCACTCAAGGATACCAGGAAGCTGTGAATGTGACATTATTTAGAAAATAATCATGTCTTTGCAGATGTGATTAAGGATATCGGCATGGGGAGGTTACCCTGCCTTATCCAGCTGGGCCCAAAATACCGTTACATGTGTCCTTATAAGAGAGAGGCAGAGAGAGGCATCATTCACAGAAGAGGAGAAGACCATGTGGCCATGGGGGCAGAGACTGGAGTGACACAGCCACAAGCCAAAGACACCAGGAGCCACCAGAAGCCCGAAGAGGCAAGGATCAGATTCTCTCCTTGAGCCTCCGGAGGCAGTGCAGCCCCGCTGACACCTTGATTTTGGCTCAGTGACACTGATTTTGGATTTCTGGCTTCCAGAACTGTGAGAGAACAAATTTCTGTTATTTCAAGCCACCAAGTTTGTGGTATTTCGTTACTGCAACCACAGGAAACTAATAGTTTTTCATCCAGAAAGAGGTGACAGTGAATTGTATCTTACAGGGGTATTGAGAGCCTTGGAAGAGCTGGACTATGAGAAAGAATCTAGACAGAACCCAGAAGGCGCCAGGTGATGAGTAACCTCAAATGCCTTCCTTATCTTGTCCCAAACCCACTCCTTTGAGGTAGAGCTGGAGTCTTGAAGTTGTAAAGACCTGTGCTGTCATCCTGACCCCACCACCGAGCAGCTGCATGACTGTAAGAACTACCCGATCTCGGCCGGGCGCGGTGGCTCATGCCTGTAATCCCAGCACTTTGGGAGGCCGAGGTGGGTGGATCACCTGAAGTCAGGAGTTCGAGACCAGCCTGGCCAATATGGTCAAACTAAAAATACAAAAATTACCCAGGCGTGGTGGCACGTGTCTATAATCCCAGCTACTTGGGAGGCTGAGGCAGGAGAATACCTTGAACCTGGGAGGTGGAGGTTGCAGTGAGCAGAAGTCACGCCATTGCACTCCAGCCTGGGGGACAAAAGTGAAACTCTGTCTCAAAAAAAAAAAAAAAAGAACTACCTGATCTCTTAACCTCCATCGCCTCATCCATTGATAAGAGTAATCAGCACCTATGTCAGAAGAATACTGAGAGGCTGGCTCTATTGCCGAGGCTGGAGTGCAGTGGCGCGGTCTCAGCTCACTGCAACCTCTGCCTCCTGGGCTCAAGCAATCTTCCCACCTCAACCTCCTGAGTAGCTGGGACTACAGTCATGTACACCACATCAGGCCAATTTTTTTTTGTATTTTTTGTAGAGACAGGGTTTCACCATGCTGCCCAGGCTTGTCTCGAACTCATGAACTCGAGCGATCCACCCATCTTGGCCTCCCAAAGTGCTGGGATTACAGGTGTGAGCCACAATGCCTGGCTTTCCTGTTTTATTTTCGTCTGCTGAAAATAAACCAGAAGGCACAGGGCAGGATTGAGCTAACTTCAGTTTCTCTGCCATTTCACTTACTCACCGTTTACAGAGCTCTGCCCAGTGCCCAGTGCTGGGCCGGGTCTTACAGATACACTGGTGGGCCAAACAGACTTTTCAAATAGTGAGGAGGCAGGAATGAATGTAATAATTACACAAGTACTTTGGAAGGCTGAAACAGGAAAATCACTTGAGCCCAGGAGTTCAAGACTAACCTGGGCAACAAAGTGAGACTCCATCCCCAAGAAGAATTAAAAAATTAGCCAGGCTTGGTGGTGCACTGAGCAGTCCCAGCTACTCAGGAGGCTGAGCTGGGAGGATCACTTGAGCCCGGGAGGTTGAGGCTGCAGTGAACTGTGATTGCGCCTCTGTACTCCAGCCTGGGAAGCAGAGCAAGACCTTGTCTCAAACAAAACAAAACAAACAAACAACCCCCCCCCGCCACACACACACACACACACACACACAGAAGTAGGTAATCACAAATGCTATGAAAGAACTGGACTTAGGGGGATCTAGAAGAGACTTCTGAACTGACGCCTCAAGGATCCATTAGAGAAGGAGCATCTCTGGGGGTCTGAAGGGCATGTGCAAGAGGCCGAGACAGGAGGGAGGAGGGCAGAGGGAAGAAACAGAGGGGGAACCAAGGCGTGTCAGGGCGTGATGCTGGTGGCAGGGGCAGAGGCAGGCTGGGTAGGCTTTGTAGCCTCACCTGTGGAGCTTGGTCTTTGTCCTGAGCACAAGGGCAGCCCCTGGAGGGTTTAAATTGGGTGAAGGTGAGGGGAAGTGATAGGAGAGGACAATCAGATTAATTTTCTTTTAGAGTCCTGCTCCGCTGGCAGGGAAAAGAATGAAGTGGAGGGGGTTGGAGTGGACACACAGAGGGAGACTACTTTGGTCTCATGGTGGCGAGCACTAGGGTGGTGACGGTGGAGATATAGAAGGAGGATGGGCTCCCACGTCACTGGGGAGGCAAAATGAACAGAACTTGGTTGCTGACTGGAAGAAGCAAGGAAGAAAGAGGAAGAGTTAGAGGTCCTTTCCAGGTTATTGATGTGAACAGTGGGGTGGAGGGAGGTGCTACACTCTGAGATCTAGAACAATGAGAAGAAGCCCAGGCTTTGGGGAAGATCCTGAGTTCCTTCTTGAAAATGGGTCTACTATGCCTCATTGCTTTGCCTGGTTCAACCCAGGCCCCAGATGAAAGAGCCTCCCTAGGCAGCCATGTTTTTTCGTACCAGCTGACATTGCCTCCTCCTTGGCAACAGTTGATTGGATAAGGACTAGGCACATGACCATGTGCAGCCCATTCATTGGCCAGCTGCTGACCTATGAAATAGCTGGTACACAAAATGACCGGGGCCAATCAGACCTTCTCCCAAGAGCTGAACTGGGGAATTGTAAGAGGACACGACACGTGCGGCGGATGCTGCCTACCACAGACCGTGAGCTGCAGTGAGAGCCAGGGAGACTGCTAGGAAGCCTTGGTCTAGCTTTGTACTCTCATCTCTGAGTCTACTTACAGAAGTGAATCTGTACAATGCCCCGTGCAGTAACTGGACAGCATCTCTGTTCTGACTACAGCAGACAGATTAAGAGCTCAGACTCAGGGGCCTGACTGCCTGGTGGTCTGACTTTGCTCTTCAATTTCTAGCTGTGTGGCCTTGGACAAGTCACTGAACCTCTCTGTGCTGTGCTGTAGCTTCTACATCTGTGAAAATGGGATGGTGGTAATAACAGGACCCTGTTCACAGGGATGTGGTCATGACTCAATGAGTTTGTACATGTAAAGTACTTGGGACAGTGGCCAGTACACGGTTAAGCGGCCTCTAAGAGTTTGCTATTACAGTTGTTATTCCTGGTCCTAACTAGAACAGGCAGAAAAATGATCCGTTGTTGACAATCTGTTCTCAAGTGTCACTTAGCACTCTGTGGGCTCCGCCTGTCTTGCTCCTCTGTCTGACCTGGCTGGCTGTGGAGAGCCAACAAGATTCCAGCAGCCAACAGGTGCTAAGGAAAGGTGGAAGACATTGCCACTTCTCAGCACTGGCTTCAGTCCAGGCTCCTTCCCATCCTGGGTTCCTGGGGTCAGAGCTTGGCTGTAGCTGGGCACAGGGAGGGGTGTTATTGCTCAAGTGAGGATGATGTGCCTTGTGCCTGCAGGTGGCTGCAACCTGTGTCGCCTTGCAGGAGCTGGTCCACCTTGACGAGGCAGCTGATGGCTGCAGCCTATTCCTGGTCAACATATGTGGTCCCCAGGAAGCCGACAGTATAGCTCTCAGACCTTCACTGGCCAGACCTGTCATTATCTAACAAGGGAGTGAGGCCTGAGCAGATGTTTCAAGGAGGAGGCCAACCAGAAGCATCCCCCTAGGGTTGCCAGCCCAAGAACACGAAGCCAGTGTAGGGGCACACAAAGCTATGGAAATAATCACCTGGCTAGGATTCTCAGAGGTCAGACAGCTGGGAGAAACCCTTGGGTTTGGCATAAGGCAGACCTGAGTTCAAATCCTCATTCTGACAAGTGTCTATGAGGGGATCTCTGAGCCTCAATGTCTTTGTCTGTAAAATGGGTATAAGAGTGTGTATCTCCTACCGGGTGGTAGCAGCAGTAGGAGGAGGAAAGATGGGCATAGTAGTGATTTAAAAGCATCACCCTGGTAGCCAACATGTATTGAGCACTTATGATGAGCCAGGCCAGCCCTGAATATTCATAAACTCTGTTCTCGCCATGAGGGAAGTCTCATGGTAGAGTGAGTAGGGTCCTGGCATACTAAAATCAGGTAACTGAAGAGTTTAATACCTGTGCTATTTACAAAGGTGCGGGCAGGGTTTGGGGAAACCAACAAGGAGTGGTCTAGTCTAGAAGGGTACGAGGAGGGCACAGTTACCAGACCTGGATAGAAAGCTGTCTGGAGGAGCTGCCTGTGATAGGAACTGTGTGTTCAGACTTATTTTCGGCATGTGAGAAAGGGGGTGGTAGGAATAACAGTGCCCGCTTCCCAGGGATGTTGTAGAGATTCAGTGGGTTACTGAGTGTGAAGTACAAGGAATAGCATTGACCCATGGTAACCTGGGAGGGAGGAAATCAGGTGTGGCAGGGAATGGAATGCTGCGCCCACCCAAAAATGTCCACGTCTTTTAGAAAATTATTTTATTTTTATTTACATTTTTTATTTTATTTTTTTTAAGAGGCAGAGTCTCACTCTGTTGCCCAGGTTGGAGTACAGTGGCACGATCATGGCTCACTGAAGCCTGGAACTCCTGGCCTCAAGCAATCCTCCCATCTTGGGCTCCCAAATAGTTGGGACTGCAGGCATGTGTCACCACACTCAGCTAATTTTTTAAATTTTTAGTAGAGAGTGTCTCGCCAGCAGGCTTATCTTGCCCAAGCTGGTCTCAAAGTCCTGGCCTCAAGCAATCTTCCTGCCTCAGCCTCCCAAAGTGCTGGGATTACAGGTTTGAGCCATTGAGCCACCACACACAGCCCTATTTTTTTTTAATTAAAAAAAAATATAGAATGCTTCATGAATTTGTGTGTCATCCTTGCACAGGGGCCATGCTAATCTCTGTATCGTTCCAGTTTTAGTATATGTGCTGCTGAAGTGGGCATGATGTCCACATTTTTTTTTTTTTTTGGAGACGGAGTCTCGCTCTGTCGCCCAAGCTGGAGTGCAGTGGTGCGATCTTGGCTCACTGCAACCTCCGCCTCCCGGGTTTAAGCAATTCTCCTGCGTCAGCCTCCCGAGTAAGTAGGACTACAGGCGCATGCTGCCACGCCCAGCTAATTTTTTTGTATTTTTAGTAGAGACGGGGTTTCACCGTGTAGCCCAGGCTGGTTTTGAACTGCTGAGCTCAGGCAGTCCACCCGCCTCTTCCTCCCAAAGTGCTAGGATTACAGGCGTGAGCCACCGTGCCCAGCCGATGTCCACACCTTAATGCCTGGAACCTGTGAATGTTACCTTCTGTGGCAAAAGAGACTTTGCTGATGTGATTAAGGATGGGAGATGAGCCTAGATTATTCGGGTGGGGCCAGTGTCATCACAGGGTCCTTATAAGAGGAAGGCAGGAGGGCGAGAATCAGGAGATGCGACAATGAAGGCAGAGGTGTAGGGGGAGGGAGAGGGAGAGAGGAGAGAACGCTCAACCTGCCATCACTGACTCGGAAGACGGAGGAAGAACACAGCCCTGCCAAAACTTCTGTTTTCACCGCAGTAAAACCCACTTTGGACTCCTAACCTCCAGAACGATAAGATAATAAATTAATGTTGCTTTAAACCACTAAGTTTGTAGCAATTTGTCACAGCAGCCACAGGAGACTAACATGCTGGGGGAATAAATACCTCTGCCTCTCTCTCCTCTTGGGCTTCCCATCAGCTGAACCCAACTGGAAGCTGATGGGCACAGGAGCCCATTGATATAGTTCGCGCAGGTCAGCCCCCTGGGCAGAGAGCAGGGTGAGAAAGATGGAGGGTGTAGCTGAAAGGGCCAGAGGAAGTCATTTAGCTGGAAAACTATTACCCCATTTTACAGATGAGGGCACTGAGGCTAAGTAATTCATCCAAGATTGCACAGCTAGTCAGTGCAGAGCTGGCAGTCATGAAGATTAGACAACACAGGTATTGTGAATCACTCATTGAGCAATTACTATGTGCAGAGCGTGGAGCAAAGCACTCTGTATTTCCCACAACCAATAGTTCTTACAAAGTGAGTACTTTGGAGGAAGGCGCTATTGTTATTTTCAGTTGACAGATGAGGAAACTAGGTTTTTGTCACCTGCCCAAAGTCACACAGCTGGAGAGGCGTATGGCTGGGATCTGAACATAGATGTGTCTGATGCCAAAGTCCATGGGCATAGCCATCAGGCCATGCTGCTTTCCAGTGTCAAGTGCGTGGTGCCGACCTGGAACCCTGCATGAGCTCAATGGGCAAAAGGTCCTCGTCATTCATGGTCTTGGGGAGGGTCAATGGGAGGCATCTTAGGACTTCCCTAGGCCTGTTGTTTTCCCTCTGGCCTTTCTTCTCCACATCTCTTTTTTTTTTTTTTGTCTTTATGCCATTTTGCGTTTCCTGGCACTGCCTTTGGGTACCAGAGCTGCGGCTTCATCTAAGAAAACCTCAACAGCCTAGGATTTTGGCTCAACTAGAAACCAGGGGTCCTGGGGCTGAAGACTGGTACTAGACTGTGGCCTGTTAGGAACCAGGTCGCACAGCAGGAGGTGAGCAGTGGGTGAGCAAGCATTACCGCCTGAGCTCCGCCTCCCATCAGATCAGCTGCGGCAGTAGATTCTCCTAGGAGTGGGAACCGTATTGTGAACTGCACATGTGAGGGATGATCTAGGTTGTATGCTCCCTATGAGAATCCAATGCCTGATGATCTGAAGTGGAACAGTTTCATTCCGAAACCATCCCCACCCTGATCTGTGGAAAAACTGTCTTCCATGAAACCGGTTCCTGGTGCCAAAAAGGTTGGGGACCACCATGTTAAGTCACACAGTGGAGAAAGGGAGTGGACATGAAAGGTGAGAGGACCAAAACAGGCCCAAAGATTGGGGTTATGGGTTGGGTTAGTTACCACTCAAGATCGATGGTCACTTCCAAGCTGCTCTGCTGCCAAGCAATGCCTGGGACATGTCTCAGCTTTCTGAACTTGAAAGATGGCTGTTTTTACAGAATGGAAAGCAGGAGACTTCAAACACTCTTTAGTCCACCTGCTTCGGTCCAGATTCCCTTTGGGTCACCTTACAGAGCCACTGGCAATCACTATGTCCTACAGGTGATACCTTGTCTGAGCCCTGCTCAGTCCTCTGAACTCCAATGTCTATTCCCCAAGGCCTCTTCATTCCAACACCTGCCTGGAGGCCTTTCTCTATGATACACTGCAAAGCATCATTGCCCTCACTCCCCACTGCAGGGTCTGTGGCAGACATCACTAATCAATCATGGAGCTCTTTCCTTCTGAGCCTCAGTCCCCTCTATAAAATGAACTCCTGGAAGCCACGAAGAGTCAAAACCTATTAGGGCTCTCCTTCCCTGGGAGAAGCAGGTCCCGGGGCATGCTAACATGCTTTTTTTTCCTCTCTCAGGTGAAATGTGGATGAAAATTGCATCAAGGGTAGCTGTGAACAACCTAACTTAGGAAATGCACTTGGAAAGTAGAGGTGTGACAAAGTGGTGATGACAAAGAGCCATGCTCAGCTTTGTGGAATTAGAAGAGGTGGGTGACAGGAGCTATGAGCTCAGGCTCTGTTTATTTTATATGCTGACATCAGTCCACCCTCATCCATTCTTTCCTCCTCAGAAGGCACCCTGAATCCTCTGCATGATCCATGTGACTGGGGCTACCTTGTGGCCGCAGCCAGTGCCTACCTTGGACTTGACAGCCAGGATGATCTTGGGCAGGGCCACGATGAGGCACTTGAGGGCGATGGTGATGTACTTCAGAACAAAGTCTGCGATCCCCACAATCCATAGCAGGTCAAAGAAGTCCAGCATCTCCAGGTTGGGCTTCAGGAATATGAGGCTGGGGGGAGGATTGAGAGAGTCAGAAGGTTCCCTTAGGGCCAGGCCTCAGCAGCTCCTTCTACTCACTCAGGAGCCTTCTAAGTATCACCTGTAGAAAGAGCGCTGAACTGGGAGTCAGACGTCTGTGTCCTTTTCCTGAATCTGCTACTAACCTGCTGTGTGACCTCACGTGGATCTTTTAACCTCTCTGAGTCTTAGTTCCCTTGAGAGTTAAATGGCCATATTGGCCTGGAGTTTCATTAAGGTCCTTGTTTTAGTCCTTTTTTTGTGTTGCTATAACAGAATACCTTAGGCTGGGTAACTTATAGAGGAAAGAGGTGGTTTTGTTTGTTTGTTTGTTTTTGAGATGGAGTCTTGCTCCGTCTCCCAGGCTGGAGTGCAGTGGCATGATCTCGGCTCACTGCAACCTCCACCTCCCGGGTTCAAGTGATTTTCCCGCCTCAGCTTCCCAAGTAGCTGGATTACAGGCACCTGCCAACTCAGCTGGCTAATTTTTTGTATTTTTAGTAGAGACAGGGTTTCGCCATGTTGGCGAGGCTGGTCTCAAACTCCTGACCTCAAGTGATCCACCCGCCTCAGCCTTCCAAAGTGCTGGGATACAGGCGTAAGCCACTGCTGTCGGCCAGAGGAAAGAGTTTTATTTAGCCCAGGGTTCTACAGGCTGGAAAGTTCAAGGGCATGGCACTAGCTTCTGGTGAGGCCTATTTTTCTGGTGCATCATAACATGAAGGAGAAGGCCAAAGGGGAAGCAGACAAAACCCCAGGGGCGTCTTGGCTTTATAAGAACCCACCCTCACAGGAACTAA
Organism: Homo sapiens; assembly: GCF_000001405.40. Classification (NCBI taxonomy): domain Eukaryota; kingdom Metazoa; phylum Chordata; class Mammalia; order Primates; family Hominidae; genus Homo; species Homo sapiens. Next base: position 116,778,386 of record NC_000012.12, on the reverse strand, counting down.
TCCATTCCCATGTGACTAATCCAGTTTTACCAGAGCAAGAACTCACTGTCATGAGAACGACACCAAACCACTCATGGAGGATCCATACCCATGACCCAAACACCTTCTGCTAGGCCCCACCTCCCAACATCATTGGGGATCAAATTTCAACATGAGTTTTGCTGGGGACAAACCCAACCATAACAGTCCCCTCTAGTTTTGTGGGTCCACAACAGGCTTTACGAGAGGAGGCAAAAGGAAGGAAGGAAGAAAGGAGGGAAGAAAAGAAAGGGGGAGGAAGAGAGGGAGGAAAGGCAGGGAGGAAGGAAATTAGGAAGGCAGGCCAATACTATGAAGGAGCGGGGGAAGCTGATGTGCCGGGAACTGTGCTAAGCTCTTTGCTCACTGTGTCTCACTAATCCTCACGACTGTCCTGTGCAGTGAGTGTTGCTTATCTCCAGTTTATAAATAAGGCACTGAGGCTTGGAGAGGTGGTCAGCTGCCCAAAGTCACACTACATAAGCATAAAGGCGTTGGTATCGGACAGACTTGAACTTGAATCCAGGCTTCTCCATTTATTGGACTCTGGGCAAATAAAGTTATCTCTGGAAGCCTCAGGGTTCTCATGAATAAAATGGGAATTGTTCCCTTCCTCATGGTGTTATTGGCAGGATTTGATGAGATAATGGACAGATTACAGACCCTGCGGTGCAGCAGTGATGATGACACTAACATTATGAGGCAGGTACTTTTATCCACCCCATTTTGCAGATGAGGAAACTGAGGCACAGAAAGGCAAATATGTGGAAGGTCCTAAAAATATTAAGGGACAGAGGTGGCCTGGAACCCAGACATCCTGGCTGCAGTTACAGTTCTCCATCCATACTCTACAGCTGAGTAGTGTAAACCTATCCATGACCAGATATGTGAAACCTCATGTTCAGTTTCTGTACTTAACTCACTGGAGACAGACAACAGGTGGCTCTCAAACTGGCACTGGTGAAGAGACAACACTTTGAGTGGCACTGCTCTCCAACATCCCCCAAGAGGGGGATGTTCTTTGTAATAGTGGCTAAAATATCCTGGCTTTAGATGTCACGCAGGCCCTGCTCTGTATATTTTATATGTCTTAACTCATGTTGTCTTCCCAAAGACTCTATGAAGTAGGTACTGTGAATATCCCATTTTGAGGCTGGGCACGGTGGCTCACGACTGTAATCCCAGCACTTTGGGAGGCAGAGGCAGGCAGATCACTTGAGGTCAGGAGTTTGAGACCGGCCCGGCCAACATGGTGAAACCCTGTCTCTACTAAAAATACAAAAATTAGCTGGGCATGGTGGTGCATGCCTGTAGTCTTAGCGACTCGGAAGGCTGAGGCAGGAGAATCACTTGAACCTAGGAGGCAGAGGTTGCAGTGAGCCGAGATCGTGCCACTGTACTCCAGCATGGGTGACAGAGTGAGACTCCTTCTCAAAAAAAAAAAAAAAAAAATCCCATTTTGAGCTGAGGACACTGGGGCACTAAGAGGTGGAGTCACCTTCCTGCAGCATCTCGGGTTGAATGTGGAGCTTAGATTGGAACCAGTACTCAACCCACGCTGGTCCCTCTCCTTTCTTCCCACTGGATTACAGGCTCTGGGCAAGGGCCAGACTGAATCCCATCTGTCTCCTCCAAAGCAGGGAGAAGTACACTCAGCATAGAATGGATGCTTTCTATATGCTTTGGAAATACTCAGCTGGGCTGGCAGAAAAAGGTGCAAAATGAGGCCTCTATTCTAGCATCCTAAGAACGGATTGGTCTGGGTTATTTTGAGTAGGGCAAAATTACTGACAAGTCACTCACAACACCTTCAGTGACCCTCCCACATCCCTGCCCTGTCTCCATGGAATTCCTCACCTGCAAGTTGGAGTGGTCATCCAGGTCATAATACAGGGAGAGGTTTGCGGCCCTGAGCTCCCGTCTTTAGCTCTGCTCTTGCCCTTCCTGGGATATCCCAGGCTGGTTGGTGGATTTCCACACTCTGCCAAATCTCCAGTGCTTCCATGATCATGATCAAATGAAGATCTGACTTATCCTTTCCATTTTATCTTGAAGATCTGCCTTATCCTTTCCATTTTATCTTGGACACAAGTTGGTGTTCAATCCATCTATCTGGGTTTTATTCTATCATCTTAGTGAGTTTTTTTGTTTGTTTGTTTTTGCTTTTGGTTGGGGGGTGGGTGCCAAAGTGTTTTTCTATGGATTCATCATCAAGTCCAATCATTTCTAAATTACTCTACAAACTTTAATGGACTGATATATTTTATTGTCAGTTTTGCTCCTCCTTAGGCACCTCCACCAATAATTACGAGTTTTTTTGTTTTTTTTTTGAGAGTCTCGCTCTGTTGCCCAGGCTGGAGTGCAGTGTCACAACCTTGGCTCACTGCAACCTCTGTCTCCTGGCTTCAAGCAATTCTTCTGCCTCAGCCTCCCGAGTAGCTGGGATTACAGATGCCTACCACCACGCCAGGCTAATTTTTATATTTTTAATAGAGACAGGGTTTCGCCATGTTGGCCAGGCTGGTCTCAGACTCCTGGCCTCAAGTGATCCACCCACCTTGGCCTCCCAAAGTGTTGGGAATACAGGCGTGAGCCACTGTGCCCAGCCTAATTATGATATTTAATCGTAAAAGAATCATATTAATTGTGATATATGTCCAATGTTTTATTGTTTACCCAGTACTTTAATGAGTCTTATGACATGTGGCCTTCCTAACTAGCCTGCAGGCAGATAAGGGAAGAATGTGGACTTGGTTCCAATTTTGCAAATCAGGAAACTAGGGAAGGCTCAGAGAGGTGACATGACTTGCCCAAGGGCACAAAGCTGGGAAGTGGTAGAATTAAGGCTCTGATGTTGGTCATCAGACATCAAATCCTGAGAAGATTCAAGCTCAGTGGTAAGTGTCGCCTCCAAGGCTAAGACTCCTTAGCAAGGGCTTCATGAAGTCTCAGTGTCCTCACCTGTGAAATGGGTCCCCAGGAGGCCAAGATAATGGTTGTTGGTGTCACATACAAGCACCGTCTAGACTGGTGACTTCTGGTGACTTCAGTAAGGACAAGGACTCAGCTATGTTGCTCTTCTCTCTCTCTTTTTTTTTTTTTTTTTTGAGACGGGAGTTTCACCCTTGTTGCCCAGGCTGGAGTGCAATGGCGCAATCTTGGCTCACTGCAACCTCTACCTCCCCGGTTCAGGCGATTTTCCTGCCTCAGCCTTCCAAGTAGCTGGGATTACAGGCATGTGCCACCACACCTGGGTAATTTTGTATTTTTAGTAGAGACAGGGTTTCATCATGTTGGCCAGGCTGGTTCAAACTCCTGACCTCAGGGGATCCGCCCACCTCAGCCTCCCAAAGTGCTTGGATTACAGGCGTGAGCCACCGCACATGGCCTGTTGCTCCTCTCTTAAGCTTCTCTCTCTCTCTCTCTCTCTCTCTTTCTGTGCACCAGTTTGACTCAGCCTGCTTTGATGGGGGCACAGAGGTCTGAGACTGGGAATATCATCATACCCAGAAAATGGCATGAGCTGGAAATTCATCCAAGGTTCTGGGAAACTCCACCTCCTCCACCCTCCATCCCCTCCACCCTCCACCCTCCACCCGGACCTTGACATTCTAGACCATGCACTGAATGCGGCGTATGAGATCTGTGTTGACGCCTCAGAACTGAGTCCTCAAATTGCTTTTATGGGTAGCCTCAGAAGATGGCAAAACCACTCAGTCCTTAAAGTTCATTTTCAAAACAGATGGATGTGATCTGAAAGGCTGACTTGAGTTTCATCCCTGTCCTAGAGGTCCTCTGGCCAACCCTACCCCCAACCATCCACAAAAGAATCTTCCCTCAATTCTGACAGCTCTGATAGTTTCCACAAACAGCAATCACGTTCTGATTAGCATTCGCTTATGCAGTGATCTCTAAATACTTTTTTTTAAATGAAGCTAAATGTATTCTGCTTACAGGATTATTTTTCTTTCCTACTTAATTCTTTGGTGTTAAAATAACCATTCTTTTATGAAATGATGTCAGTGGTAGATGATCTTTTTTTCTAATTGTGGTAAAACACACATAACATAAAAGGTACCGTCTTAACCATTTTTACGCGCACAGTTCAATGATGCTAAGTACATTCACATTGTTGCATAATCATCACCACTATCCAACCACAGACCTCTTTTCATCTTGCAAAGCTGAGACTCTGTACCCATTAGCAGTAACTCCACATTCCCTTCTCCCCCCAGTCCCTGGCAACCGCCATTCTTTCTGTCTATAAATCTGACTACTTTAGGTACTTCATGTAAGTGAAATCATACACTTAATGTCCTTTTTTATCTGGCTTATTTCAATTCACAAAATGTCCTCAAGTTTCATCCATGTTGCAGCATGTGTCAGAATTTCCTTTCTATTTAAGGCTGAATAATATTCCACTGTATGTACATACCGCAGGGTGTTTATCCATTCATCTGTCAATAGACACTGGGTTGCTTCTACCTTTTGGCTATTGCATGATGATCATTTTAAAAATATGTTTTCAGTTGCAAAAAGCAAGCAGATATCTACATGGTAAACCCCTGGACTTTGTTGTGGGTCAATTTACTGGTTTGTGAAATCTCTAAGTCTGGGACTTACACAATTTTGTATCTGATGTAGAGATGTGATTCCCATCACCCTTACACCCTCTACAGATTCTTCCAAGTAGTTGCATTTAGGGCCTCTGCTGAGCCTGTGACTATTCTGAGATGTGCTCACCACTGCCATCCTCAGGGAAAGCATCCACATCCCCACTGGACTCTGCGACCCAGCCCCTCTGGCCCATGAAAAGCCAACCAGAAGCGCTCTGTCTTTAATTTTAAAGGAGAAACAGAGACTGCCAGTGAACGGCTAAGTCATGCCAAGAACTGAACATCAAATTCCAGGAAGTCCCTGGTCCCTGCCCTTTCTCGAGGCTTGTTGTTTGGTTTTCCTAGGATTGTTTGAGTCCCTGCATGGAACAATGCCTAAAGGAAGAATTCCCTGTTTGCTTAAGTTAGTAACCCAAAGGGCCCTTAGTTGATATGTTTTCTTAATATAGTCCTGGGCACACACACAGGAAGTGTCAATAGACGTTACTTGCGGCTGGGCATGGTGGCTCACGCCTGTAATCCCAGCACTTTGGGAGGCCAAGGCGGGCAGATCACCTGAGGTCAGGAGTTCCTGACCAGCCTGGCCAACATGGTGAAACCTGTCTCTATTAAAATTATGAAAAATTGGCCGGGCGTGGTGGCTCATACCTGTAATCCCAGCACTTTGGGAAGCCGAGGCAGGTGGATCACAAGGTCAAGAGATCGAGACCATCCTGGCCAACTTGGTGAAACCCTGTCTCTACTAAAAATACAAAAATTAGCTGGATGTGGTGGCATGTGTCTGTAGTCCTAGCTACTTGAGAGGCTGAGGCAGGAGAATTGCTTGAACCCAGGAGACGGAGGTTACAGTGAGCTGAGATTGTGCCACTGCACTCCAACCTGGGCGACAGAGCAAGACTCTGTCTCAAAATAAATAAAGAAATGCTCCTTGCATTTGTTGACATTTCTTGTGCATTAAAGTGATATGCTGGTAAATGAAAGAGTTGTAAAATGGCATGTTCTGCACACTACAACTTCCACAACAAATATGTATAAATATGTAGAGAAAAATGTTAGCAGAGTTGCTGTTAGGTGACAGAATTGGAGGTGTTTTTGGTCCTTTTTAAATGGGTTTTCCAATTTTCACAATTAAAAATAAATTACTTTTGGGCTGGGCGCAATGGCTCACACCTGTAATCCCAGCACTTTGGGAGGCCGAGGCGGGTGGATCACGAGGTCAGGAGATGAAGACCATTCTGGCCAATATGGTGAAACTCTGTCTCTACTAAAAATACAAAAATCAGCCGGGCGTGGTGGCACATGCCTGTAATTCCAGCTACTCAGGAGGCTGAGGCAGGAGAATCGCTTGAACCAGGGAGCTGGAGGTTGCAGTGAGCCGAGATCGCACCACAGCACTTCAGCCTGGTGACAGAGCGAGACTCTGTCTCAAAAAATAAAAACAAAATAAAATAAAAATTACTTTTGAAATTAGAAATATAAGTAACTTTACAAACTGTGACCAGGTGTGGTGGCCCATGCCAGTATTCCCAGCACTTTGGGAGGCTGAGGTGGGAGGATCGCTTGAGCCCAGAAGTTCAAGGCTGCAGTGAGCCATGATGGCACCACTACCTTCCAGCTAGGGCAACAGAGCAAGACTGTGTCTCCAAAATAAAAAAAAATCTGAGATACTCATTTATTTGACAAATATTGATGGGGCAGCAACTATGGGACAGCATTGTATAGGCACCAGGGGAAACAAACTCATTAAAAAACATCGGAGGCTGGCAAGCAGCCCTGAAGGAACTCAGGAGGGAAACTGTTGACCGTTCGAGATGTTCATGGGAGTGAGTGAGATTCTGCCTGCTTCATTTACGTTGGCAGATTTGTGGAGGAAGCGTCTCGTTTCAAAAGAACTTCCAGGTGCATGGCTGCCAGGGTGACAGGGATATTTTAAGGAAGCTGATGATAAGTCGGGGCTAAGTAATCCATTCAATTTCCTGTGCTTTGCCTCCCCACTTGCCCCACCACATTGCGTAGAACTCTGAGTCAATGTCACAGAAGAGGGTGCCCACATCATGGGACATGTATTTGGGGTGTAGGAGCAAGAAGCCCTGTTACCTTGTCTCTGCACAGCTCAACCCAGATGGGGTAGACATTTTTATCACTTAACATTATTTAAAAAGCACTGCTATTACTATGTAAAAAAAAGTGTCCATTACAAAAAAATTATAAAATACAGATAATTCTAAAGAAAAAAATAAAATTGCTCATATACGTATTTTTTTTTTTTTTTTTTTTTTTTTTTTTTTTTTTAACGATAGGATCTCATTTTGTCACCCAGGCCGGAGTGCAGTGGTGTGATTATGGCTCACTGCAGCCTTGACCTCCCAGGCTTATGTGATCCTCCCACCCTAGTCTCCAGGGTAGCGGGGACTATAGGTGCACGCCACCATGCCCGGCTAATTTTTGTATTTTTTGTAGAGATGGAGTCTCACCATGTTGCCCAGGATGGTCTCGAACTCCTGGGCTCAAGTGATCTGCCCATCTCGGCCTCCCAAAGTGCTGGGATTACAGCGTGAGCCAACGCACCTGGACTATCCACATGTTTAACGTCTAGAGGACCACTGTTAATATTTTAGGTCAGGAGTCAGCAACCTTTTCCTTTAAAAACAGAGAGCAAATATTTTTGGCTTTGTAAGCTATATGGTCTCTGCCATAACCATTCAACTTTGTTGGAGCACAGATGAACTCATAAATGATACGTAAATGGATGGGTGTAGCTGTGTTTCAGCAAAATGTTACTAATAAAAATGGGTGAATGGCTGTAGTCTGCCAACCTCTGTTTTAGTGAGTATCTTTAAGGACTTTTAAAAAGTACAGGCATAAATGAATGAAAGAATGAATGAATGAAAAAAGAAAAAGCTGGTCACAATGGCTCACACCTGTGAGCCATTTGGGAGGCTGAGGTGGGTGGATCACTTGAGGCAAGGAGTTCAAGACCAGCCTGGGCAACATGGAGAAACCTCATCTCTACTAAAAATAAAAAAATTTAGCTGAGCATGGTAACATGCGCCTGAAGTCCCAGCTACTTGGGAGTCTGAGGTGGGAAGATTGCTTGAGGCTGGGAGGTCAAGGTTTCAGTGAGTGTGATCACACCACTGCACTCCAGCCTGGGTGACAGAGCAAGATGTTGTTTAAAAAAAAAATGAAAAAACAAAGAAAAAAGACATACATACTTAAAATAACTTTTAAAAGCTGTTACATTCATCAGATGGGGGAAAAATCAAATACAGTCATACATCGCTTAATGACTGGGACATGTTCTGAGAAACACATCCTTAGGTGACCTGGTCCTTGTGTGAACACCACAGAGTTGACTTACACAAAACTAGTTAGCATAGCCTACTACACATCTAGGCTATATGATATAGCCTATTACTCTTAGATTACAAACCTACATAGCTTGTTACTGTACTGAATACTATAGACAATTATAACACAATGGTATCTGTATATCTAAACAGAAAGGGCACAGTAAAAACACTGTATAAAGGATGAAAAAAGATACACCCATATAGGACACTTACTATCACTGGAGCTTGCAGGACTGGGAGTTGCTCTGGGTGAGTCAATGAGAGAGTGGTGAATGAATGTGAAGGCCTAGGACATGACTATACACTGCTGTAGAATTTACAGACACTGTACATGTAGGCTACACTACATTTATTTTATTTTATTTTGAGATAGAGTCTCATTCTATCACCCAGACTGGATGCAGTGGCACGATTTTGGCTTACTGTAGCCTCTGCCTCCCGGGTTCAAATGATTCTCCTGCCTCAGCCTCCCAAGTAGCTGGGATTACAGGATCCTGCCACCACACCTGGCTAATTTTGGTATTTTTTTTAGTAGAGACGGGGTTTCACCATGTTGGTCAGGCTGGTCTCAAACTCCTGACCTCAAATGATCCACCCACCTTGGCCTCCCAAAGTGCTGGGATTACAGGCATGAGCCACCATGCCCGGCCGTTACATTTATTTTAAAATGTTTATTTCTTCAATCATAAATTGACCTTAGCTTACTGTAACATTTTTACTTGGTACACTTAGTTTTTATTTTTTGACTATTTTATAATAACACTTAGCTTAATACAGATTGTACAGCTGTACAGAAATATTTTCTTTATATCCTTATTCTATAAGGTTTTTCCTATTTTTAAAATTTTTTGTTACAACTTAAGACATAAACGTACACCTTAGCCTCACCCTACGTGGGGTCAGAATCATCAATATCACTGTCTTCCACCTCCACATCTTGTCCCACTGGAAGATCTTCAGGGGCAATAACACCCATGGAGCTGTAATCTCCTACGATAGCAATGTCTTCTTCTGAAAGGCACTGCCTAAGGCTGCCTTACAGTTAACTTTAAGACGGAGTCTCACTCTGTCTGGAGTGCAGTGGCGTGATCACGGCTCACTGCAACCTCTGCCTCCCGGGTCCAAGCAATTCTCTGGCTCAGCCTCCCAAGTAGCTGGAATTACAGGCACCTGCTACCACGCCCAGCTAATTTTTGTATTTTTAGTAGAGACAGGGGTTTCACTATCTTGGCCAGGGTGGTCTTGAACTCCTGACCTCGTGATCTGCCCACCTTGGCCTCCCAAAGTGCTGGGATTACAGGTGTGAGCCACTGCGCCCGGCCAACTTTTATTTTTTACAAGTAGAAAAAGTATACTCTAAAATGACAATGGGTGGGCACTGTGGCTCACGCCTGCAATCTCAGCACTTTGGGAGGTTGAGGCAGGTAGATCACCTGAGATCAGGAGTTTGAGACCAGCCTGGCCAATATGGCAAAACACTTTCTCTACTAAAAATACAAAAATTAGCCGGGCGTAGTGGTGAGCACCTGTAATCCCAGCTATTTGGGAGGCTGAGGCAGGAGAATCACTTGAACCTGGGAGGCGGAGGTTGCAGTGAGCCGAGATCACACCACTGCACTCCAGCCTGGGCGACAAGGGCAAAACTCGTTTCAAAAAAAAAAAAGAGAGAGAAAAATAAAAAAAAAATGACAATGAAAAGTATAGTAAAAATATAAACCAGTAACATAGTCTTTTATGATCATTATCAAGCATTAGGTACTGTACATAATTGCATGCACTCTACTTTTATATGACTGGCAGGACAATAGGTTTACCCCAGCATCACCACAAATACATGAGTAAGGCACTGTGCTACAGCGTTATGATGGCTGCAATATCACTAGGTAATAGAATTTTCTAGCTCCATTATAACCTTATGGGACCACTGTTGTCTATATGGTCCATCGTTGACAGAAACATCATTACGTGACACATGACTGTAATATAAAAGGCCAAACTGGGCTGGGTGCGGTGGCTCATGCCTGTAATCCCAGCACTTTGGGAGGCCAAGGCCGGCGGATCACCTGAGGTCAGGAGTTCGAGACCAGCCTGGCCAACATGGTGAAACCCCATCTCTATGAAAAATACAAGAATTAGCTGGGCATGGTGGCAGGTGCCTGTAATCCCAGCTACTCAAGAGGCTGAGACAGGAGAATCACTTGAACCTGGGAGGCATAGGTTGCAGTGAGCCGGGATTGCACCACTGCACCCCAGCCTGGGCAACAAAGAGTGAAACTCCATCTCCAAAAAAAAAAAAAAAAGGCCAAACTGTGCAAAGTAAGTTTCTGATCTCCAGTGCCCACCAAGAGGCAATTATTATTTCTAGTTTCTTGGTTGTCCTTCCAGAAATATTCCAGACCTGCACTATTCATACAGTGTTCACTAACCATTTTGAACACTTGAAATGTGGTTAGTTGGAACTGACATGAGCTGTATATGTAAGATACCAGATTACAAAGAGTTAACGTGAAAAAAGAATGTAAAACCAGGGGCAGTGGCTCACGCCTGTAATCCCAGCACTTTGGGAGGCCAAGGCAGGTGGATCACGAGGTCAGGAGTTTGAGACCAGCTTGACCAATATGGTGAAACCCTGTCTCTACTAAAAATACAAAAATTCGCTGGGCGTGGTGGCGCATGTCTGTAATCCCAGCTACTTGGGAGGCTGAGGCAGGAGAACTGCTTGAACCTGGGAGGCGGAGATTGCAGTGAGCTGAGATCGTGCCACTGCACTCCAGCCTGGGCGACAGAGTGAGACTCTGTCTCAAAAAACAAGAAAAAACAAACAAAAAAAAAACATAATTTTTATATCGATCGTATGTTGAAATGACAATCTTTCGGGGCCAGGTGCGGCGACTCACACCTGTAATCAATCCCAGCACTTTGGGAGGCCAAGGCAGGTGGATTGCCTGAGCTCAGAGGTCCGAGCCCAGCCTGGGCAACACAGGGAAACCCCATCTCTACAAAAAATGTAAAAATTAGCCAGGTGTGGTGGCATGCACTTGTAGTACCAGCTACTTGGGAAGCTGAGGTGGGAGGATCACCTGAGCCCTGGGAGGTCGAGGCTGCAGTGAGCCATGATCACACCACTGCCAGCCTGGGTGATGCAGTGAGATCCTGTCTCAAAAAAAAAGCAAAACAAACAGACAAAACAAAAAACAAATATTTTTGATATACTGGGTTAAATAAAATCAATTATTATAATTGATTCCACCTGTTTCTGTTTAGTTTTCAGTAACTAGAAGATGTTAATTTACCTATGTGGCTTGCCTTGAAATTCTACTATTGAGTGCTGGTCTAGATATATATAAGTAGTAACAGCAGGGTGGAATTTGGAAGTTACAACATGACATAGAGCTTGTGCCTCATTCTCAAGTGAAAGGGTACGTGCCCCAAGCCCAGCCAAGTGCCCCACTCTCCCACCGTGGGGGTTGGATTCCCATGCTCACCTGTTGTACAGCTGCTGGGAGCTGAATGTATAAAGCACATAGAGGGTGTTCCCCGCCAGAAAGGCCAGGATCCACAAGATGACCAGCACTGACCTCTTCTCCTGAAGACAAAGCAAGAGATATGTGATATCAAAGGTGCATGTGGCAGAACCTTCCAGAATGTACCCTGATGACTGGCAGCTTTTCACTTTGTCAACATTTTGAAGGAAGTGGTGCTGAAGGTGAAAGGAAGGGCATTGGCACCTTTCTATTCCACTGATACCCAAGCGGTGGTCACGGAGAAGGTGGCAGAATGGTGGACATCTGCTTGAAAAACTATCTAGAAAGGCAAGAGAACACCATGGTTCGCAGCAGACTCCAGAGCAGCATGGCACACATTCAAATCCCTGGTCAAATCCTGTGTGGGAGCTGTCCAACTCCAGGCAAGTTATTTAAACTCTTTCAGTTTCCCTTTCCTCATCTGTAAAATGGGTATATCTTAGTATCTACCTTATAGAGTTGTAAGAATTAAAGTACATAAAATGCTGTTAAGAACTAAAGCACAGAGAGGTTAAGAAACCTCAAGGGGCTGTGTTTTAAGTCTCAGTGTCTTCATTTGAAAATGGGGTTGTTAAAGATTAAATCAAATTTTTTATTTTAATTTTTTTTTCTGTTCCCTAGGCTGGAGTACAGTAGTGTGATCATAGCTCACTGTAACCTTGAACTCCTGGGCTCAAGTGATCCTCCTGCCTCAGCATCCTAAGTAGCTAGCACCACAGGCAGGTGTCACTATACCTGGCTAATTAAAAAAAAATTTTTATTTTTTTTTAGAGACAGAGTCTTGCTATTTGGCTCAGGCTGGTCTTGAACTCCTGGCCTCAAGTGATCCTCCTGCCTTGGGCTCCCAAAACACTGGAATTACAGGCAAAAGTCAAATTTTTAAATGCAAACATTCAGTCTGGTACAGATTCATATTTAAAGCTTGCTAAGGGGTAGGACTGATTATTAAGAGTTTACAACCCAGCAGAAGATTCAGATCTAGAGGCTGGAAATTTCTGCTTTCACTTTTTCTAGGGAAGACCTCTGGCCCGCTGCCCTGGACTGACCATTCCATGGAATGCCACAGTGTAGAATTAAATCCAAGCTTATATACCTAATTCTCAAAGCCCTTCACAATCCAGCCCCATTTCTCCTTCTTCAGCCTCATTCCTGTCTAGTCCCCAGGAAGACAAATTGGAAATCCTCAGTTTGCTGTTTCCCAGCAGTTTCATAGCCTGACAGCAATCCTAGGAAATGTCTGAAGGAGATGCAAAGGGGGGCGTGTTCCTGCCTATGTACCCTGGGACACATAGGCAGATCCCTCTGCTGTTGATTCTCAACAGCTCGTGCCTTTTTTCAGACTGGAGTGGCTGCATTGCTGGAATAAGATGAGGTCATAACTTTCCCAGTGTAACCTTCCCTGTGGTTTCGGTAAATGCTCAATACACAGTGTCTCCAGACACAGCTCAGTGCCCCACGCACTGTTATGATGCACATTTCCAGAGAGTGGACGAAACAAATGCATCTCCATCCACCCATTATTCCAGGAGCAGTCAAGGTTAATGATGCTAGAAACCACCTCCAACCAACCAACTGCTCTTATCAATGTGATTAATCCACCTGGCAGCTCTTTTTACTCCAATGAATAATAGATTCCAGTTTAATTCTCTATGAATCCAAACCAAAGGTGGAATAGGAAGAGGGAATTAGCAATGTTCTGGGAAGACAGAAACTGAAGGACAAAGGAGGTAGTTCTCTCCTAATCAGCTGCGACGCCTAAGCTTACTAAGGGCCATGTAGACCTGCTCTTATGGAAGATACGCACATACAGGCAAAGTGTCACCTGTGTCTTCATGAGCATCAAGGACCCCTGGAGGCCCGTCCATGGATACAGAGATCCTCTCAGCTCCTAAAATTTAAGTCAAGGTGCCATTTGGATGTTACTGCATTTGAGACAGACCTAGCCCCCAAAGCTGCCTCCTACTGTTTTGTTTGTTTGTTTTTGAGACGGACTTTCGCTCTTGTTGCCCAGGCTGGAGTGTAGTGGCGCAATCTCAGCTCATTGCAACCTCCGCCTCCTGGGTTCAAGTGGTTCTCCTGCCTCAGCCTCCCAAGTGGCTGGGATTACAGGCGCCCACCACCATGCCCAGCTAATTTTTGTATTTTTAGTAGAGACGGGGTTTCACCATGTTGGCCAAGCTGGTCTCGAACTGCTGAACTCAGGTGATCTACCTGTCTCAGCCTCCCAAAGTGCTGGGATTATAGGCGTGAGCCACTGTCCTTGCCCCCTCCTACTGTTTTAACAACAGCAGAAAGGAGTTTGCATAAAGAAGATGAGACTAAGGGTCAGGAAGGACCTCTGACTCTGTCCCCAACTCCGAACCTCAATGTGCTCATGTGCAAATGGAGACTGGGTTGTCCTCCATGCTGCATGGAGGCCCAAGTGCTTTTGAGAAAGCAGACGATGCTATAGAAGGGTCAGTGAAGCTGGTGATTATTATGGGATCACCTGTGCAGGAGAAAGCACAGACTTTAAAAAAAAAATTATTTCCATAGGTTTTTGGTGAACAGGTGGTATTACATGAATAAGTTCTTTTGTGGTGATTTGTGAGATTTTCGTGCACCCATCACCTGGGCAGTATACACTGAACCCAATTTGTAGTCTTTAATCCCTCACTCCCTTCCCACTCTTTCCCCCAGAGTCCCCAAAGTCCACTGTATCATTCTTATGCCTTTGCATCCTCATAGCTTAGCTACCACTTATGAGTGAGAACATACAAAAGGTTTAGCTTTTCATTCCTGAGTTACTTTACTTAGAATAATAGTCTCCAATCCCATCCAGGTTGCTGCGAATTCCATTAATTCATTCCTTTTTATGGCTGAGTAGAATTCCATCATATACATATACCAGTTTCTTTACCCACTCATTGGTTGATGGGCATTTGGGATGGTTCTACATTTTTGAAATTGTGAATTGTGCTGCTATAAACATGAGTATGTAAGTATTTTTTTCGTATAATGACTTCTTTTCCTCTGGGTAGATGCCTAGTAGTAGGATTGCTGGATCAAATGGTAGTTCTACTTTTAGTTCTTTCCCCCCCCGCCCCCTTTTTTTTTTGAGATGGAGTCTCGCTCTGTCACCCAGGCTGGAGTGCAGTGGCGCGATCTCGGCTCACTGCAAGTTCCAACTCCCAGGTTCACGCCATTCTCCTGCCTCAGCCTCCCGAGTAGCTGGGACTACAGGCGTCTGCCACCACATCCAGCTAATTTTTTTTTTGTTATTTTTTTTTTTAACTGAGATGGGGTTTCACTGTGTTAGCCAGGATGGTCTCGATCTCCTGACCTTGTGATCCACCCACCTCAGCCTCCCAAAGTGCTGGGATTACAGGCGTGAGCCACTGCGCCCCACCTAGTTCTACTTTTAGTTCTTTAAGGAATCTCCACACTGTTTTCCATAGTGGTTGTACTAGTTTACATTCCCACCAGCAGTGCAGAAGTGTTCCCGCATTCATGCCGACATCTATTATTTTTTGATTTTTTGATAATGGCCATTCTTGCTGGAGTAAGGTGGTACTGCATTGTGGTTTTGATTTGCATTTCCCTGATCGGTAGTGATGCTGAGCATTTTTTCATAAGTTTGTTGGCCATTTGTATATCTTCTTTTGAGAATTGCCTATTAACATCCTTAGGCCACTTTCTGATGAGATTTTTTTTTTTTTTCTGAAAGCACAGACTTTTGAAAACTAGCTCAATTAAATGTTTCCTACATGCCAGGCACCATGCTAAACATTGCCTTCTTTTTATTTTTTCTTAAACAGAGAAGGTCTTGTTCTGTTGCCCAGGCTAGAGTGCAGTGGTGCAATCATAGCTCACTGCAGCCTCAAACTCCTGGGATCAAGCAATCCTCCTGCTTCAGCCTCCTGAGTAGCTAGGATGACAGGCACATGCCCCCACACCTGGCTAACTTTTTAAAAAAACTTTTGCAAGCCAGGTATGGTGGCTCACGCCTGTAATCCCAGCACTTTGGGAGGCTGAGGTGGTCGGATCACCTGAGGTCAAGTGTTCAAGACCAGCCTGGCCAACGTGGTGAAACCCCATCTCTACTAAAAATATAAAAATTAGCCAGGCATGGTGGCATGCACCTGTAATCTCAGCTACTCAGGAGGCTGAGGCAGGAGAATCACTTGGTAATCTTGGTGGTGCACACCTGTAATCTCGCTACTTGGGAGGCAGAGGTTGCAGTGAGCCGAGATTGCACCACTGCACTCCAGCCTGGGTGACAGAGTGAGACTTCATCTCAAAAAAAAAAAAAAAAATTGGTAGAGAAGAAAGGGGTCTTGCTATGTTGCCCAGACTGGTCTCAAACTCCTGGGTTCAAGGGATCCTCCCGCCTCAGCCTCCTGAGTTGCTGGGATTACAGGCATAGGCCACCATACCCAGTACTTGTGCTAAACACCTTGTATGCACTATTTCTTTCTTTGTTTTTTTTTTTTGTTTTGAGATGGAGTGAAACCATCTCAAACCATCAAACCATCTCAACCCAGGCTGGTGTGCAATGACACAATCTTGGCTCACTTCAACCTCCACCTCCCAGGTTCAAGCAATTCTCCTGCCTCAGCCTCCCAAGTAGCTGGGATTACAGGTGTGAGCCACCATGGCTGGCTAATTTTGTATCTTTTTAGTAGAGACGGGGTTTCACCACGTTGTTCAGGCTGGTCTCAAACTCCTGACCTCAAGTGATCCACCTGCCTTGGCCTCCCAAAATGCTGGGATTGCATGCATGAGCCACAGTGCCTGGCTCTTTTCTTTTTTTCTGTTTTTTTTTTTTTTTTGAGACAGTCTCACTCTGTCACCCGGGTTGGAGGGTGGTGGTGTGATCTCGGCTCACTGCAACCTCTGCCTCCCAGATTCAAATGATTCTCATGCCTCAGCCTTCTGAGTAGTTGGGATTACAGGCGTGAGCCACCGCGACCGGCCTGGATGCACTATTTCATTCAATCCTTTCAATGGGTTTGTGAATTGGTGCCAACAGGCTCTTTTCCAGAGGCGGCACCTGAGGCTGAGATCACCAAGGTAACCTAATTGAGGGTCTGCAGGTGGGTGGAGGAGCAGGGATTTGAACCTGGAATGAGCACGGGCTCAACTACCCAGGTGCAAATCATGATGCCATCACTTGCACTGGCTGTGTGACCTCAGGTAAGGAACTTAGTGTCTCTGAGCCACTGTTTCCTCAGTGGGAAAATGACAGAAAAATGATTTTGTTTCCCTCCCAGGTTGCTGGGATGAACCTGCTGAGATGAGCAATGGGCTCAGTACTGTGCCGGGCACGCAGTTAGTGCTCAGCAGACACAGAGGACATGCAGGAGGATGGTGGTGAAGCTCTATGTCCACCCAGCAGCATAAGAGGAATGGCCATAAGCATGAAGGTGGAATGAAAGTAACCTAATGGGGCCAGGCATGGTGGCTCACGCCTGTAAACCCAGCACTTTTGGAGGCCAAGGTGTGCGGATTACCGGAGGTCAGGAGTTTGAGACCAGCCTGGCCAACATGGTGAAACCCCGTCTCTACTAAAAATACAAAATTAGCTAGGCGTGGTGGTGTGTGTCTGTAGTCCCAGCTACTGGGGAGACTGAGGCAGAGGAATTGCTTGAACCTGGGAGGCAGAGGTTACAGTGCGCCAAGATCATGCCACTGCACTCCAGTCTGGGCAACAGAGCAAGATTCCGTCTCAAAAAGAAAAAAACAAAAAATGAAAGTGAGCTAATGAGCTGAATGTCTGCGGCGTAAAGGGACTGGGCTAGGTGTACGTGGAGGAGATGCTGCTGTTGGAGGGGAGAAAGAAGGAACATTCAGGGATCTACCCAGGGGTGATAGACCGAAGAATGGCCTCCCTAGGAGGCTGAGGTCAGAGGATTGCTTGAATCCGGGAGTTGGAGGCTACAATGAGCTATGGTCATGCCACTGCACTGCAGCCTGGACAACAGAGCAAGACTCTGTCTCTAAAAATTATGAAATAAAAGAAGAGGTTTTGGTGAGATCATGGCGGATGGGAGGCAGGACTAGATTGCAGCTCCAGAGAGAGCAGCGGGCGGCAGCTCGCATTGTGAATTTTAGCACCAGATTGACTGCAAGGACAAACCAGCAATCCCGAGAGGACCCACAGACTCTCTGAAGGAAACGGACTGCTCCTGCAGGACCCAGGAGAGCCCCCCAAAACTGCGAATGCCCCAACTGCGGAAGTGGGAAAGGGAGACCCTCCTCTCCCGAACACTCACCCTCACGGGGGAAGCTGAAGGTCTGTTTGCAGGAGAAGTTTCCAACTTTATCTGGCGCTGAGTCAATTTGGAAAGCCAAGCAAAATACAGGCGTAGAGGAAGCAGCAGCAAGGCCCTGGGAGCTCACTGGGTCCCCCAGCAGCCCATTCCTGTCTGGCACCACGGGGATCCAATGGGTAGGAGCAAGGGCTAAAACTCCACAGGGAGAAGCAAATCTCTAGCTGAACTGTGTAACAATTTGAACAGGGTAAGAAGCCTCCTGGCCAGAACTCAGGGGAGGGTGCAAATCCAGTGTGCAGACTCCACAGCGGCGGCACGAACTAAACCCTCTTCTTTGGCAGCTGGGAGGCGGATAGTCTGGGGCAGGTTTTCAAGCCCCTATCGCTCTCCACCTGGAAATGGTCTGGGGGCTGTTGTGGTGGGCATGGTGGGAGTGAGACCGGCCCTTCGTTTTGCAGGGGAGCTGGGTGAGGCCTGTGACTGCCAGCTTTCCCCCACTTCCCTGACAACCTGCATGACTCAGCAGAAGCAACCATAATCCTCCTTGGTACACAACACCAGTGACCTGGGAATGTCATCTACTTAACCCATAGCAAGACCCGCCCAAGGAGAGTGAGAGGTCAGAAACGCCTAGCCTCACCCCAACCCGATGGTCCTTCCCTCCTACCCACCCTGGTAGCGGAAGACAAAGGCCATAGAAACTCGAGAGTTCTAGAGCTCCACGGGTTCCTCGCCACGCTACCACAGCTGATGCTCTCTGGAAAGCGCCACCTCCTGGCAGGAGGCCAACCAGCACAAAAATAGCGCATTAAACCACCAAAGCTAAGAACCCTCACGGAGTCCATTGCACCCTCCACCACCTCCATGGCAACAGGCACTGGTATCCATGGCTGAGAGACCCATAGACAGTTCACATCACAGGACTCTGTGCAGACAACCCCCAGTACCAGCCTGGAGCCAGGTAGACTCGCTGGGTGGCTAGACCCAGAAGACAGACAACAATCACTGCAGTTTGGCTCACAGGAAGCCACATCCATAGGAAAAGGGGGAAGAGTACCAAAAAGAGGGAAAACCCCCTGGGACAAAAGAATCTGAACAACAGCCTTCAGCCCTAGACCTTCCGTCTGACGGAGTCTACCCAAATGAGAAGGAACCAGAAAACCATCCCTGGTAATATGACAAAACAAGGCTCTTCAACACTCCCCCAAAATCACACTAGTTCACCAGCAATGGATCTAAACCAAGAAGAAATCCCTGATTTACCTGAAAAAGAATTCAGAAAGTTAGTTATTAAGCTAATCAGGGAGGGACCAGAGAAAGGCAAAGCCCAGTGCAACGAATTCCAAAATATGATACAAGAAGTGAAGGGAGAAATATTCAAGGAAATAGATAGCTTAAAGAAAAAACTATTAAAAATTCAGGAAACTTTGGACACATTTTTAGAAATGCGAAATGCTCTGGAAAGTCTCGGCAATAGAATTGAACAAGTAGAAGAAAGAAATTCAGAGCTCGAAGACAAGGTCTTTGAATTAACCCAATCCAACAAAGACAAAGAAAAGGGAATAAGAAAATATGAACAAAGCCTCCAAGAAGTCTGGGATTATGTTAAATGACCAAACCTAAGAATAATCAGTGTTCCTGAAGAAGAGAATTCTGAAAGCTTGGAAAACATATTTGGGGGAATAATCGAGGAAAACGTCCCCGGCCTTGCTAGAGACCTAGACATCCAAATACAAGAAGCACAAAGAACACCCGGGAAATTCATCGCAAAAAGGTCTTTGCCTAGGCACACTGTCATCAGGTTATCCAAAGTTAAAACGAAGGAAACAATCTTAAGAGCTGTGAGACAGAAGCACCAGCTAACCTATAAAGGAAAACCCATCAGATTAACAGCAGATTTCTCAGCAGAAACCCTACAAGCTAGAAGGGATTGGGGCCCTATCTTCAGCCTCCTCAAACAAAACAATGATTAGCCAAGAATTTTGTATCCAGTGAAACTAACAATCATATATGAAGGAAAGATACAGTATTTTCAGACAAACAAATGCTAAGAGAATTCACCCATTACCAAGAATTTGCCATTACCAAGTCACCACTATAAGAACTGCTAAAAGGAGCTCTAAATCTTGAAACAAATCCTGGAAACACATCACAACAGACCCTCTTTAAAGCATAAATCACACAGGACCATAAAACAAAAATACAAGTTAAAAAGCAAAAACAAAAAATGAAAAAACCAAAGTACACAGGCAACAAAGAGCATGATGAATGCAATGGTACCTCACATTTCAATACTAACATTGAATGTAAGTGGCCTAAATGCTCCACTTAAAAGACACAGAATCACAGAATAGATAAGAACTCACCAACCAACCATCTGCTGCCTTCAGGTGACTCACCTAACACATAAGGACTCACATAAACTTAAAGGGGTGGAAAAAGGCATTTCATGCAAATGGACACCAAAAGCAAGCAGGGGTAGCTATTCTTATATCAGACAAAACAAACTTTAAAGCAACAGTGGTTAAAAGAGACAAAGAGGGACATTATATAATGGTAAAAGGCCTTGTCCAACAGGAAAATATCACAATTCTAAATATATATGCACCTAACACTGGAGCTCCCACATTTATAAAACAATGACTAACAGACCTAAGAAATGAGATTGACAGCAACATAGTAATAGTAGGGGACTTCAGTATTCCACTGGCAGCACTAGACAGGTCATCAAGACAGAAAGTCAACAAAGAAACAATGGATTTAAACTATACCTTGGAACAAATGGATTTAACAGATACATACAGAACATTTCATCTGACAACCGCAGAATACACATTCTATTCAACAGCGCATGGAACTTTCTCCAAGATAGACTATATGATAGGCCACAAAACGAGCCTCAATAAATTTAAGAAAATTGAAATTATATCAAGTACTCTCTCAGACCACGGCAGAATAAAACTGGAAATCAACTCCCAAAGGAACCTTCAAAACCATGCAAACACATGGAAATTAAATAACCTGCTCCTGAATGAGCATTGGATCAAAAATGACATCAAGATGGAAATTAAAAAATTCTTCAAACTGAATGACAATAATGACACAACCTATCAAAACCTCTGGGATATGGCAAAGGTGGTGCTAATAGGAAAGCTCATAGCCCTAAATGCTTACATCAAAAAGACTGAAAGAGCACAAACTGACACTCCAAGGTCACCCCTCAAGGAACTAGAGAAACAAGAAGAAACCAAATCCAAACCCAGCAGAAGAAAGGAAATAACCAAGATCAGAGCAGAACTAAATGAAATTGAAACAAAAAAATTCAAAAGATAAACGAAACAAGAAGCTGATTCTTTGAAAAGATAAATAAAACTGATAGACCATTAGCAAGATTAACCAAGAAAAGAAGAGAGAAAATCCAATGACCTCACTAAGAAACGAAACAGGAGATATTTCAAGTGACACCACTGAAATATAAAAGGCCAATCAAGGCTACTATGAACACCTTTATGCACAAAAACTAGAAAACCTAGAAGAGATGGATAAATTCCTGGAAAAATACAACCCTTCTCGCTTAAATCAGAAAGAACTAGATACCCTAAACAGACCAATAACAAGCAGCGAGATTGAAATGGTAATTTAAAAATTACCAACAAAAAAAAGTTCAGGACCAGACAGATTCACAGCAGAATTCTACCAGACATTCGAAGAATTGGTACCAATCTTTTTAACATTATTCCACAAGATAGAGAAAGAAGGAACCCTCCCTAATTCATTCTATGAAGCCAGCATCACCCTAATACCAAAACCAGGAAAGGACATAACCAAAAAAGAAAACTACAGATGGATATCCTTGATGAACATAGATGCTAAAATCCTTAACAAAATACTTGCTAACCGAATCCAACAAATTACCAAAAAGATAATCCACCATGATCAAGTGGGTTTCATACCAGGGATGCAGGGATGGTTTAACATGCACAAGTCAATAAATGTGATACACCACGTAAACAGAATTAAAAACAAAAATCACATGATCATTTCAATAGATGCAGAAAAAGCATTTGACAAAATCCAGCATCCCTTTATGATTAAAACTCTCAGCAAAATGGCATACAAGGGACATACCTTAGTGTAATAAAAGCCATCTATGATAAACCCACAGCCAATATAAAACAAACTTTCCAGATACAAGATTAATGTACAGAAGTCAGTAGCTCTTTTATACACCAACGGCGACCAAGTAGAGAATCACATCAAGAACTCAACCCCTTTTACAATAGCTGCAAAACAAAAAACAAAAAACAAAAAAAAACCTTAGGAATATACCTAACCACGGAGTTGAAAAACCTCTACAAGGACAACTACAAAACATTGCTGAAAGAAATCATAGATGACACGAACAAATGGAAACACATCCCATGCTCATGAATGGGTAGAATCAATACTGTGAAAATGACCCTACTGCCAAAAGCAATCTACAAATTCAATGCAATCCTCATCAAAATACTACCATCATTCTTCACAGAATTAGAAAAAAAAAATTCCAAAATTCATATGGAACCAGAAAAGAGCCCACATAACTGAAGCAAGACTAAGCAAAAAGAAAAAGCTGGAGGCATCACACTACCTGATTTCAACCTATACTATAAGGCCATAGTCACCAAAACAGCATGGTACTGGTACAAAAATAAGGACATATCTTTTCCTTTCAGCCGGAACTGCCATCTTCTAGTAATTCGCCAAAATGACGAACACAAAGGGAAAGAGGAGAGGCACCCGATATATGTTCTCTAGGCCTTTTAGAAAACATGGAGTTGTTCCTTTGGCCATGTATATGTGAATCTATAAGAAAGGTGATATCGTAGACATCAAGGGAATGGGTACTGTTCAAAAAGGAATGCCCCGTAAGTGTTACCATGGCAAAACTGGAAGAGTCTACAATGTTACCCAGCATGCTGTTGGCATTGTTGTAAACAAACAAGTTAAGGGCAAGATTCTTGCCGAGAGAATTAATGTGCATATTGAGCACATTAAGCACTCTGAGAGCCGAGATAGCTTCCTGAAATGCATGAAGGAAAATGATCAGAAAAAGAAAGAAGCGGAAGAGAAAGGTACCTGGGTTCAACTCAAGCGCCAGCCTGCTCCACCCAGAGAAGCACACTTTGTGAGAGCCAATGGGAAGGAGCCTGAGCTGCTGGAACCTATTCCCTGTGAATTCATGGCATAATAGGTGTTAAAAAAAAAAAAAAAAAAGACCTCTGGGCTATAAAAAAAAATAGGGACATAGACCAATGGAACAGAATAGAGAACCCAGAAATAAACCAAAATACTTACAGCTAACTGAACATAACAAAAACATAAAGTGGGGAAAGGACACCCTTTTCAACAAATGGTGCTGGGATAATTGGCTAGCCACATGTAGGAGAGTGAAACTGGATCCTCATCTCTCACCTTATACAAAAATCAATTCAAGATGGATTAAGGATTTCAACCTAGGACCTAAAACTATAAAAATTCTAGAAGATAACATTGGAAAAACCCTTCTAGACATTGGCTTAGGCAAGGATTTCATGACCAAGAACCCAAAAGGAAATGCAATAAAAACAAAGATAAATAGCTGGGACCTAATTAAACTAAAGAGCTTTTGCACAGCAAAAGGAACAGTCAGCAGAGTAAACAGACAACCCACAGAGTGGGAGAAAATCTTCACAATCTGTACATCTGACAAAGGACTAATATCCGGAATCTACAACAAACTCAAACAAATCAGTAAGAAAAAAACAAACAATCCCATCAAAAAGTGGGCTAAGAACATGAATAGACAATTTTCAAAAGAAGATATACAAATGGCCAACAAACATGAAAAAATGCTTAACGCTGCTAATGATCAGGGAAATGCAAATCAAAACCACAATGTGATACCACCTCACTCCTGCAAGAATGGCCATAATCAAAAAGTCAAAAAACAATAGATGCTAGTGTGAATGCGGTGGACAGGGAACACGTCTACACTGCTGGTGGGAATGTAAACTAGTACAACCGCTATGAAAAACAGTGTGAGAGATTCTTCAAAGAACTAAAAGTAGAACTACCATTTGATCCAGCAATCCCACTACTGGGTATCTACCCAGAGGAAAAGAAGTCATTATTCAAAAAAGATACTTGCACACGCAAGTTTATAGCAGCACAATTCACAATTTTAAAATTGTGGAACCAACCCAAATGCCCACCAATCAACGGGTGTATAAAGAAATTGTGGTGTATATATATGTATATACATATATACATGGTGGAATGCTACACAGCCATAAAAAGGAATGAATTAACAGCACTTGCAGTGACCTGGATGAGATTGGAAACTATTATTCTAAGTGATGTAACTCAGGAATGGAAAACCAAACATTGTACGTTCTCACTGATATGTGGGAGTTAAGCTATGAGGACGCAAAGGCATAAGAATGATACAATGAACTCTGGAGACTTGCCGGGAAGACTGTGCCTGGCTTGTGGCTTATTTGTTGCAGCAGCCACAGGAGACTAGGTCGGAAAGTGACTCACCTTCAGTGAGACCTGTTCTCGAAGCGTGGAGTTGGCATAGGCGAAGGTGCTGGCCATCCCGATGCACACAGCAATGCCTGTGGGACAGAGAAGGGCCTGATGTCACCCACTTAGACTCATCAGGCCTAGCCCAGGTGCTGAGCAACATGGGGGAAAAGGCACATCCCTGGTCCCCTCAGAGTTGACAGAAGAGAGAGAAAAATAAAAAAAATCCCACTTCTTGGGGATTTGGGCTGCCATCTAAATCTCTGGGAATTCTGAGCCATTCTGACTTAGGGACAGGATTTAGGTCCCTGTGGGGATACTTTATAGCACTGGATCAGGGGATGGGCTGTGCAGTCTGGTAAGGGCTGGGTTCAATTCCCAGCTCTGCCACTTCCTCTCTGTTTGAGCTTGGGCAAGTCACCGCACCTCTCTAAGCCCCAGTTTCCTCATCTGTAAAATGGACAGAACAATAACATTACTTATACCTCATAGAGGGATAAAGCTTCTAGATCATAATCCCTAGCAGTTAGTGAATGATGCCTCTTATTATTTCTACTTTTAAAAAGAATCTGATTGATAGAATCAGATAGAATTTGTGATAAAAGCATACATTGAAAAAACTCACCGCTGGGTGCAGTGGCACACACTTGTAATCCCAGCACTTTGGGAGGCCGAGGTGGGCAGATCACTTGAGGCCAGGAGTTTGAGACCAGCCTGGCCAACATGGTGAAATCACATCTCTAGTAAAAATACAAAAATTAGCCACACATGGTGGCATGTGCCTGTAGTCACAGCTACCCAGGAGGCTGAGGCACAAGAACTGCTTGAACCCAGGATGGGGAGGCTGCAGTGAATTGAGATCACACCACTGCACTCCAGCCTGGGCAACAGAGCAAGACTCTGTCTCAAAAAAAAAAAAAAAAAAAAGAAAAAGAAAAAAGAAAAAGAAAAAACTTACAACGCCATAAGGAATTCAAGTTTAATGTTCAATGAGAAAAAAAAATCCCAGCTAACAGACAAACATGACCCAGGCAGATGGCAGAACGGAATTGAATTTTCTTCCACCAGTCATTTCATTGCCACTGTTTGCCAAGCTACAATCTTGGAATTCTCCCCAAATAATGATTTTCGAGTCCTGCTTTTTGTTATTTGTAGACAGGATTCCTCTTTCACCTGATGCACTTACTGTTTATTTATTGAGACACTGTCTCACTCTGTCGCCCAGGCTGGAGTGCAGTGGTGCGATCTCAGCTCACTGCAACCTCCACCTCCTGGGTTCAAGTGATTCTTGTGCCTCAGCCTCCCGAGTAGCTGGGACTACAGGTGTGTGCCACCACACCTGGCTAATTTTTGAATTATTAGTAGAGATGGGGTTTCACCATGTTGGCCAGGCTGGTCTCGAATTCCTGACCTCAAGTGATCCGCCCACTTCAGCTTCCCAAAGTGCCAGGATTACAGGCGTGAGCCACCGTACCTGGTCGCACTTACTCTTTTAATAGGTATGTGTACTCCAGCTATTTTTCCAGATCTACTTTGTAGAAGCTGTATTTCTTCACTATAAGCACATAAAACAAGAATGAGTAGCCCCATAATCCTTTTTGGTACTCTTCTCTTTGATTAAAAAACAAAACAAAAAAAACCTGCCAAGTGAAAAATAAAATGATCATACTCACAAAACAAAACTTAGCTGTGATGCCAGAATTCAGGGTAGTGGGGAAGATGCCAGCTTTCACTTCTAGGAATAGAAAGGGTGGGGCTGATAGGGCAGCACCCCAGCAAGGAAGGTGGAGGAATCTGAGCGAGCTGGCAGTCACCAGAAAGAAGAAAATAAGAAATAAAGAATGGTCTCATCTCCTCTCGAAGCTTTCTCTCTCTCTCTTTTTTTTTCAGTAGAGATAGGGTCTCACTATGTTTCCCAGGCTGGTCTCGAACTCCCAGCCTCAAGCAATCCTCCTGCCTCGGCCTCACAAAGTGTTGGGATTATAGGCATGAGCCACCACACCTGACCGATATTTTCTCATGGAAAGTAGTAGACCACAAGATAATTCTTACCATCACTCCTACTGCAGTACTAAAACAACAGTGTATAAGCCCGCCAGGGCACAGCAACACCATGATCTAATAAGTAAGCCGGGTGTGGTGGCTCACACCTGTAATCCCAGCACTTTGGGAGGCCAAGGCAGGTGGATCACTTGAGGTTAGGGCTGAGAATCACTTGAACTCAGTGGGTAGAGGTTTGCAGTGAGCTGAGATCGTGCCACTGCACTCCAGCCTGGTGACAGAGTGAGACTCCATCTCAAAAACAAAAACAAAAACAAAAACAAACAAACAAAAAAACAGTAAGTAAGATTAATAATAACAATAACAGTATACTAGGCCAGGCACAGTAGCTCACGCCTGTAATCCCAGCACTTTGGGAGGCTGAGGCGGATGGAACACCTGAGGTCAGGAGTTTGAGACCTGGCCAACATGGTGAAACCCCGTCCCTACTAAAAAATACAAAAATTAGCTGGGTGTGGTGGCGGTTGCCTGTAATCCCAGTCACTCGGGAGGCTGAGGCAGGAGAATTGCTTGAACCCGGGAGGTGGAGGTTGCAGTGAGCAGAGGTCGCGCCATTGCACTCCAGCCTGGGCAACAAGAGCAAAACTCCATGTCAAAACAAACAAACAGAAAACAGTATACTAGAGGCCAATTATTGACTGTTGAGTATGTGTCAGATAGGAGGCTGAGCACTTTATGAATCATTATCTTATTTCCTAAAAATAACAATAGGTAGTATTTATTCATCATTTGCTGTGTTGAATATTTCAATTCAGGCTCTATGTTAAATATTTCAATGTGTGTTAATAACAAATATAGTAGGCCGGGGCAGTGGCTCATACCTGTAATCCCAGCACTTTGGGAGGCTTAGGTGGGAGGATTGCTTGAGCCCAGGAATTTGAGACCAGCCTGGGCAATATAGTGAGACTTCGACTCTATGAAAAAATTTAAAATTTAGCCGGGTGTGGTGGCACACGCCTGTAGTCCCAGCTACTCAGGAGGCTGAGGTGGGAGGATAACCAACCTGGGAGGCAAAAGTTGCAGTAAGCGAAGGTTGCAGTGAGCTGAGACCTGCACCACTGCGCTCCAGCCTGGCTGAAAGAGCAAGACCCTGTCTCAAAAAAAAATATATATATATATATATTATATATATAATATATATATTATATATATATAATATATATTATATATATATAATATATATATTATATATATAATATATATATTATATATATATACACACACACATATAGTAAAAATAATGTGTTTTACACATATTAAGTCAAATTTAACATCACTGTGATCCCATGAAGACTATAAAATCATACCCCCACTTGATAGATGAGGAAACTGAGGCACAGAGAGGTTAAATAATGCACCTAGCATCACACAACTAGGAGGGGACAGAGCTAGGGTGCAGACTCCAGCAGTCTGAGTTATTACACAGCACTCCTTTACACCAGCCAACCAGCGAGGAAGTTTCTATCCTAACCCCCACTAGACAGATGAGGAAACTGAGGCTCAGAGAAGCCAAGTGACTTGCCTGAAGTCACACAGCTAGTCGGCCAGGATTTGAACCCAGGTCTGACTCAGAATCCCACATCCTGAAGCCCATGTTGGTCTCTGCTGCCTCTCCCTGGGCTTCAGAGGAGGAGCCCCCACCCCACCGGCTGCAGGCAGCCTGCCTGTGAAGCCCATGGCTAGGACACCCATGCCCCCAGAACTCACCGAGCTTATGCTGAAAGCACAGTTTGGCCAGGAGGATCAGGATGAAGGGGAGTCCTTTCTGGAGCCAGCAGATCACAGCCTTCAGCTCGGACAGGGCGGGGGCGGGCGTCCCAGGCTGCTCGTCGCCTCCCTCCTCCGAGTGCCCCCGGTGGTCCCCACCCACGTGCTGCAGCAGGGAGCCCCCGCGGTGGCCGCCATGGTGGAAATGGTGGTGGGGCTGGCGGTGGTGGTAGGCGCCCCCCTCGCCCCGGCCCCCTCCTTCCTCCCTGGACGCGGGCATCTGGATGAACACGTCCCCGCCGCCAGCCGAGGAGCCCAGCACCAGGCTGGAGGGGAACGAGCTGGTGGGGAGGCTGCCTGATAAGCCCGAGAAGAGCGCTGGTGGGGAGGCTGCCTCTGCCTTCAGACTCTCAAAGACGCCACCTTCATCCACACTCGCCTCGGAGCTGAGCGCCTGGCTGCGGTTTCTGGGTGCCAAGGGGAGAGAAACCCCAGGAAGTCAGGCAGATGGAAAAGACCTTACTCCAGAGGAGGATGGGGACTAATAATATCAATTATGTTATGGGTTGAGCTGTGTCCCCCTCAAATTCACATGAAGTCCTTCCTCCCAGGACCTCAGAATGTGACCCTGTTTAAAGATAGGGTCTATACGAGGCAATGAAGTTAAAATGAAGTCACTGGAGTGGGTCCCAATCCAGTGTGACTGCTGTCCCTGTAAGAAGAGGTTAGGGCTGATGCAGTGGCTCATGCCTGTAATCCCTGTACTTTGGGAGTCAGAGGTGGGAAGATCACTTGAGCCTAGTTGTTCAAAACCAGCCTGGGCAACATAGGGAGACCCCATCTTTACAAGAAATAGAGCTAAATTAGCCAGGCATGGTGGCGCATGCCTGTAGTCCCAGCTATTCAGGAGGCTGAGGTGGGAGGATCACTTGAGCCCAGGAGGTTGAGGCTGTAGTGAGCCAAGATCTCGCCACTGCACTCCAGCCTGGGCGACAGAGAGCCTGTCTCAAAAGGGGTGGTGGGGGGGGAAAGAGGAAGAGATTAGGACACAGGTACAGAGAGTAGACCATGTAAAGACCCAGGGAGAAGACGGCTGTCCACAAGCCAAGGAGAGAGGCCTCAGAAAGAACCAACCCTGCTGATACCCTGATCTCAGCCTTCCAGCCTCCAGAATTTGTTATAAGAAATTTCTGTTGTTTAAGCCCCCTGGGGTGTGGTACTTTGTTACGGCAGTCCTAGGAACTAATACAAATAATATTAATAACAATAGGTCGTAACCTTTATTGAAACCTACTACGTGTCAGATAGTCTTCTGAGTGTTTTGCATTGATTAACTTACTAAATCCTCCCATCAACCCTGGAATTAGGTCCTACTGATATTCCCGCTTTACAGATAAAGAAATGGAGGCTCAGAGAGAGAAAGTAACTTGTCCAGAGTCACAGAGCTGGTAAGGGATGGAGCAGGGGAGATTCGAACCCAGGCCGACTCTCTCTAGAGCCCACTTTAGTAACCAGCACACTTCGTTGAAAAGGGAGCACAGAATTCTATGATTCTAGAATTACCTCGGGATCCCAAGGACCGCTGGCTCTGCAGTCTTCAAGTTCAATGGCCCCCAGTTCCCCAGAGGGGCCAGCCTTGGTCACAGCTGACATTGGGTGGGCGGCAGAGAGTAATGTGAAGAAGACTTAGCTGGGAGGCCCACATTCAAACTCCAGCTCCACCTGTTCTAGGGGCCTTATACCTCTGCACTCAGCTTTCTCACCTGAAAAATGGGCCTTTATTCCTGAATAGAATTTCTGGGGGTGGGGGTGTTAAATTTAAAATACGTTTTGCAATAATAGGTTCTCAATACGTGGGAACTGTTATCTCTAGTTCCTATGGAAGACCTGCAGTGCCATATTGCTTTCTCTAGTTCCAAGCAAGGGCCTCTTGGGTTGGAATCAGGCAAAGGATTCTGTAGCTCTTGCAGAGCCACTGCTGGCGGAGCAGAGAGCCCGGAGTTAGGCCTGCAGGAATGGAGAGCCCAGAATTGGGTGCAGTTTCCTACGAACATCAAGTTTTGGGTACCATCTTTCTATTCTCGGGTTCATCCTCTTTTCTTTCTTTTTTTTTCTTTTGAGACAGAGCCTTGCTCTGTCACCCAGGCTGGAGTGCAGTGGTGCCATCTCAGCTCACTGCAACCTCCGCCTCCCAGGTTCAAGCGATTCTCCTGCCTCAGCCTCCCGAGTAGCTGGGACTACAGGCACCTGCCATCATGTGCGGCTAATTTTTGTATTTTTAGAGAGATAGGGTTTCACCGCGTTGGCCAGGCTGGTATTGAACTCCTGACCTCATGTGATCTGCCCGCCTCGGCCTCCCAAAGTGCTGGGATTACAGGCATGAGCCACCGTGCCCGGCCGAGGGTTCATCCTCTTTTCAAGTGGAATCACTACATTGCAAACTCAGTCCACACCACAGATGCAAGCGGAGCCGATGTGCTCGACGTGCATGTGTTGGGGAGCAGGAGGACAAAGAGCCACTCCCTCCTTCTCTCACCCTGCAGGCACCTCCACAGACCACTAAGAGACTCCAGATGTACCATGAGCTTACTGATAATGGGCTGGGCTTCATTCATCCTCTGGACCCCACAACCCAGGGCACACAGTAGGTGCTTAATAAATGTATGCCAGATGTTATTCAGTCCGAAATGGCAGCAGGAGGGAGGCTTTGGTGGAAATTTTCCACTGTTTTCATACTTGATCTCATATCATCTATTATATGAGACCATTATCCACAGAGTGAGACGGGGGTCTCACTCTGTTGCCCAGGCTGGAATAGTGTGATCATAGCTCCCTAGAGCCTCAAACTCCTGGGCTCAAGTGATCCTCCCACCTCAGCCTCCTGAGTAGCTGGGATTATAGGCATGTGCCACTGCAATTGGCTCCAGGAAATATGTTTTAAAATATATAAAAGACCAGCCATGGTGGCTCACGCCTATAATCCCAGCACTTTGGGAGGCCAAGGTGGGCAGATTGCTTGAGCCCAGGAGTTCAAGACCAGCCTGGGCAACATTGCAAGAACCTGTCTCTACAAAAAATTAAAAAGTAGCCAGGCATGGTGGCACGCACCTGTAGTCCCAGCTAGTGGGGAGGCTGAGGTGGGAGGATGGCTTGAGCCCAGGAGGTGGAGGTTGCAGTGAGTTAAGATCACGCCACTGCACTCCAGGCTGGGTGACAGAGCAAGATGCTTTCTCAATAAATAAGTAAATGAATAAATAATAATAAAACACATATGTCCAGCATCTGTATTTAAGGATTCAACCAACCTTGAGTCGTGGACCAAAACCCACAGATACAAAAGGCTGACTGTCCTAGCCATTTTATACCAGGGACTTCAGCAGCTGCATATTATCATATCCGTGGGGTCTTGGAACCAATTCCCCCATGAATATGGAGGGCTGACTGTATTTGATTATTTCACGATCCCACTAAAAGCCCTCCCAGGGCTTCCCATTCTGTGTTCCTTCCCATGGTCTCAGAGGAACCCTCTAGACAGGTACAAATATCATTCCCAAATATCATGTTCCTTACTGACAAACAAACTGAGGCTCAGAGAGATGAAGTTGCCAGGCGCCCTGGATTATTTGACTCCAAACTCCAATCTTATCATGTGCCCCTTTCTCATCATTCAAGGGCTTTCTACTACAGGCTATCACCTTCACCGGATGTCTCCCCTAACCCGTACCCCATCCCAACTAGGTAATGCACGCTCATCTGTCAGATTTCAGCTAAAATCTCCCTCCCTGGATTGAGGCTTCACTCCTTCCTAGACAATGACAGTCCCCTGCTCCTTGCTCTCACTGCACCCTCATGTCACCTGCACAGGATTGATCACAGCTGTTATTTTATTCCTCATCTTTCCCTTGAGACCTGTGGCTCTCAATCCTGGCCATATATTATAATCACTTGGGGGAGCTTTTGCAAAAGACAGGTGCCCCGACCCCACTGGAGACCAACTGAATCAAAATCTTTATGGGTGGGCCCCAGCACCTGAAGTTACTCAGAGTCCCCTCAGTGATTCTTGTTTTTTTTTGAGCAGGGTCTCCCTCTGTCACCCAGGCTAGAGTGCAGTGGCGCGATCTCGGCTCACTGCAACCTCTGCCTCCCGGGCTCAAGTGATTCTTATGCCTCAGCCTCCCGAGTAGCTGGGATTACAGGTGTGCGCCACTATGCTTGGCTAATTTTTGTATTTTCTGTAGAGATGGGTTTTCACCATGTTGGCCAAGCTGGTCTCGAACTCCGGAGCTCAAGTGATCCACCCGCCTTGGCCTCCCAAAGTGCTGGGATTACAAGCATGAGCCACCATTCCCCACTGCCCCCCGCTACAGTGATTCTAATGTGTGGTCAGTGCTGCAAACCATAGCTTTGGACAGAGCTCCACTCCACAAGGTCAAAGACCATAACCTTGCTCCCCACTGTATCTTTACCACCCGGCACAATGCACCTGGCACTCAGAACATGCTTAATAAAAAGTGTTTGAAAGAATACATGAACAGGCATACTAAACGCTCTGAGAAGGCCTGCAAGTGAAATAATGGACTTTGCTTAAGCCCAGTGTTCCCCAAACTTATTTGACCACAGAATTCTTTTTATCCATGAAAAACCATTTAACAGCTTGCAGAACACCTGTGACACACAGCAGTGGGACACGGTGGTTTCCCTGGCTGCACAAACTGGGCCTGCAGGTATGTTACTAAAAACCTAGTGAGGCCAGGCATGGTGGCTCATGCCTATAATCCCAGCACTTTGGGAGGCTGAGGTGGGCAGATCACTTGAGGTCAGGAGTTTGAAGCAGGCTGGGTGTGGTGGCTCACACATGTAATCCCAGCACTTCGGGAGGCTGAGGTGGGAGAATCACTTGAGGCCAGGAGTTTGAGACCAGCCTGGCCAATATGGCAAAAAACCCTCTCTACTAAAAATACAAAAATTAGCCGGGCATGGTGGTGCATGCCTATAATCCTAGCTACTCAGGAGGCTGCGGCAGGAGAATCGCTTGAACCGGGGAGGCAAAGGTTGCAGTGAGCTGAGATTGTGCCACTGCACTCCAGCCTGGGCAACACAGTGAGACTCTATCTCAAAAAAAAAAAAAAAAAAATCTGGTGCAATGGAGGAAACTCACGATTGGATTCCCTCCCTCACCAAGCCCCACCCCTGCTGGCTCCAAAAGCCCAGGAAATATGCGCTCCTCCTCCACTGGGCTCTGGATAATAATAATGATAATATTAATAATGACAACAACAGCAAACACCATGGCTATGATCCTCAAGGGGCCTTGAGCTTTTTCTGCACTTCAAAGAGCTCAGCTCAGAAAGCAAGAGCCCTGGCAGGTACCCATGTTGGTCCATGAGGAGGCCACTCTCTCTCCGTGGCCACCCAAGGGGCCCTAGAAAGCCATCCTGTCCCCCTTGAGCTTGCCAGCACTCTGAGTTCACTGGGCTCAGGGGCCTCCAGTACAACCAGGGAAGACTCAACTCACCAAGGGGCTTTTTATAGCTGGCCTCCCTTCCCTGGGCCTCTCCCCTGCATCCAGCCGAGATTTCAGCCTGACTGGGAAAGAATATTCCTTAGGGGGACAGAGGCTGTGCTTCCAACTTAACCACTTAAGCGCCAGAGCTTGAGGCAACCCAGGAGGAAAAGTGGTTCTGCTCAGACACTAGGCAGCCAAAATGTGCTATCTCAAAGCACAGGTGCTGGGGGACACAGGGATGGGGGCCCAAATCTCAGCCCTGCTACTTCCTGGCTGTGTGACTTTAGGTAATTTCCTTCCCCTCTCTGAGCCTCAGCTTCTGCATTTGTAAAATGGGTGCTCTCACTGGGCTAATGTGGCGGTTGGCACAGCATAAGCACTCAATACACGGTTTGAGTTTCCTGCTGTGCTCTCTGCCCGCAAGAGATCTCATGGTTCACTTGAGAGCAGATGACAATGTTGTCTTTAGAGGCGGAAAAGGTTCCAACAGGCAGGCTTATTACAAGCCGGATGCTGTTTCTGCATCTTCACACTCACTCCTTCATCCATAAACAACTCTTTTTTTTTTTTTTTTTTGAGGAGGAGTCTCACTCTGTCACCCAGGCTAGAGTGCAGTCGCATGATCTCTGCTCGTTGCAGCCTCCACCTCCAGGGTTCAAGTGGTTCTCCTTCCTCAGCCTCCTGGGTAGCTGGGACTACAGGCATCTGCCACCACACTGGCTAATTTTTGTATTTTTAGTAGAGATGGGGTTTCAGCATGTTGGCCAGGCTGGTCTCAAACTCCTGATCTCAGGTGATCAGCCTGCCTTACCCCCGCAAAGTGCTGGGATTACAGGCATAAGCCACCATGCCTGGCCCATAAGCAACTCTTGAGTTCTGTTACCTGCCATTTTTGGATGGAGAAGCTGAGACCTAGGGGTGAAGTCATGTATCAAAGTCACCACAGGTGGGAAGTGGCTGAGCTGGGGTTTGGCTGAGCCCCGTGTTCTTCCCTGCAGAACAGGCAGGCACCATACAAAACTCAGTCCCAGTGCTGGGACCGGGGGATACCATTTGTGATTCTGTAGCCAACCCCAGAGTCGCAGGGGGTATGGGATGTGAGGAAGGGAAGGCTTGGCTGCCCGCCCCTTGGATGTATGTGCTAGGACAGGGCTTCTGGGGCTGGAGGCTGTCCCAATCTGAGAACAGGCCCCCAGGTGTGTTCCCTCTTGGGTTTCAATAGATATAAATTCTAGGCTGGGTGCAGTGGCTCATGCCTGTAATCCCAGCCCCTTGGGAGGCTGAGGTGGGCAGACTGCCCAAGCTCAGGAGTTCGAGACCAGCCTAGCCAACATGGTGAAACCCCATCTCTACTAAAATACAAAAAAATTAGCCAAACGTGGTGGTGCGTGCCTATGGTCCCAACTACTCGGGAGACAGAGGCATGAGAGTAGCTTGAACCCAGGAGGCGGAAGTTGTAGTGAGCTGAGATTGTACTACTGCACTCCAGCCTTGGTGACAGAGCAAGACTCCATCTCAAAAAAAAAAAATTCTAGCTCATGAGTGTTTTTTAACCGGTTTTTTTTTTTTTTTTTTTTTTTTTTTTTTTAGATTCTACCTGGTATCTATTAATCACAGGGCCAAACTAACGGCCAAAGTTATTTACATGTCCTTGTGATCCAGAGCCCATAACCCCAACCACTGCTTCATTTAACCTTTTTTTTTTTTTTTTTTTTTTTTTTGAGATAGGGTCTCACTCTGTTGCCCAGGCTGGAATGCAGTGGTGCAATCATAGCTCACTGCAACCTCCACCTCCTGGGCTCAAGCAATCCTCCCACCTCTGCCTCCTGCATAACTAGGACCACAGATGCATGCCACCATGCTGGGTAAGTTTTTATTTTTTGTAGAGATAGGGTCTCCCTATTTTGCCCAGGCTGATCTCAAACTTCTGGGCTCAAGCAATCCTCTCACCTTGGCTTCCCAAAGTGCTGAGACTATAGGTATGCACCACCATACGTGGCTAGTTTTAAAGTTTTTTAGTAGAGACAGGATCTCCTCATGTCACCTAGGCTGGTCTCCAACTAACTCCTGGACTCAGGTTATCCTCCCACCTTGGTCTCCCAAAGTGTTGGGATTACAGGCGTGAGTCACTGCATGGCCCTTCCTTCATCTAAGTTTTACACACGCAGCCAATATTTCTCCTGTCCTAAATCATCTAGGGCCAGACACCAAACTAAAGAGCACCTTGAGGCCAGGCGTGGTGGCTTGCGCTTATAATCCCAGCGAGCAGGAGCTTGGGCGGCCAAGTCGGACAGATCGCTTGAGCCCGGGAGTTTGAGACTAGCCTGGGAAACATAACAAAACCCTGTCCCTACAAATACAAAAATTAGCCGGGCATGGTGGTGCATGCCTTTAGTCCCAGCTACTCGGAAGGCTGAGAGGTAGGAGGATTGCTTGAGCCTGAGAGGTCGAGGCTGCAGTGAGCCGAGATCGTGCCACTGCATTCTAGCCTGGGCAACAGAGGGAGATCCTATCTCAAAAAAAAAAAAAAAAAAAAGAAACCACCTCGGTACCCCAGAGCCCACCAACATGATTCAAACTAGCCAGTCCTAAACTATTGCCCCTGCCTTGCCTTTCTTTCCCCCAGAAAACACAATAAAGGCTGTGGCCTATGCTTTTTCCTCGGTCCTTTCTGCCCTCTGACTATTGCTGGTGCTTCCCCAGGTGGCCCTGCAAGCAGTAGTATGCCCCTTCATCTTGAGAAATGGAAGAAATAAAAATCTCATCTTTCAATGTCATTAGCCTCTCCGTGTTGTTTCTCAGAGCTATGATCTCAATGTTTGTGTAGATTCTTATGTTGAAACCTAACCCATGCCAGGTGCAGTGGTTCACACCTATAATCCCAGGGCTTTGAGAGATCAAGGTAGGAAGATCGCTTGAGCCCAGGAGTTTGAGGCCAGTCTGGACAACTTAGTGAGACCCCGTCTCTACCAAAAAATTTTAAAAATTAGCTAGGTATGGTGGCACATGCCTGTAGTCCCAGCTACTCAGGAGGCTGAGGCAGGAGGATTGCTTGAGCCTAGGATTTGGAGGCTATAGTGAGCCATGATCACCACTGCACTCCAGCCTGGGTAACAGAGCAAGACTCTCTCTCAAAAAAGAAACCTAACCTGTAATTTGATCGTATTGGAAGGTGGGCCTTTGGGAATGATTAGGTGATGAGATGGGCTCTTCACGAATGGGATTAGTGCCCTTAAAAAGGAGACCCAGAGAGATCCCTTTCCCTTCACCACATTAAGACATAGCAAAAGAATGGCCATCAGTGAACCAGAAAGTGGGCCTTTCGCAGACACTGAATATGCTGGAGCTTTCATCTTGGACTTCCTAGCTTCCAGCACTGTGAGAGATAAACATTTGTTGTTTAAACCACCCATTCTATGATATTTTTGTGATAGCAGCCTGTATGGACTAAGACATCTCTATAAATCAAAATTCCACAGGTACATTCATTGATACAATGAGTCAGGTGGCTCACCTATCACACAGGACTTTGAAATTTAGCATAAAAGAAAGAGCAAGCTATTATGCGTTGAATGTTTAGTATGAGGCCATCAGTGTGACTCTAACAACTAACGCTGAGGGTGAGGTATTGTTCAATCCAGTTTTGGGTTGCCCCTCACCACCCGAAGCCTAGAGCCCTCAGATGGAACAGAAGCAGGGATGCCTACCTTTCAGGTGGAATGTTATCCGTGTTGCTGCTGTGGCGTCTCTGCATCTTCCTTAACACCTAAAACCCAACACATGGGTGAGCCAGAGTCTCCCAACACTCCCACTGCCTGTCAGATTGCCAAGGTAATTGTAAACTGCAAACCTGCACTAGTCGTATCTTAGACCCCTAGTGCTCTCTGGCATTTTCCAAAGTATGTTTCAATCTTTCATGCCATTCCATCCTCAATGTGACATTCTATCCCATGAGGAAAGCTATCACCCCATTTCACAGAGGAGGACGATGAGACTCAGAGGTGGAGAAAGTCCTCATGTGAGAGGATAACGCGGTAAACTGTGCAGCCAAGAG
Organism: Homo sapiens; assembly: GCF_000001405.40. Classification (NCBI taxonomy): domain Eukaryota; kingdom Metazoa; phylum Chordata; class Mammalia; order Primates; family Hominidae; genus Homo; species Homo sapiens. Next base: position 116,740,747 of record NC_000012.12, on the reverse strand, counting down.
GTGCTGGATGAAGTGAAGTGGGCAGCGGACTGGCAGGAGACATGGATTCTGGGTTGATGCTGCTGCTAACTTGCTGTGACCCTAGACAAATCAGTAACCCCTCTGTGGGTTCAGATTCCCCATGTGTTACATGGGAGGGGTGGAGTGGTCAAACCAAAACTTCCTTCCAGCTCTCACATTTAATCAAGTAGTAATAAAGATGCAAATTCTCTTGGAGACGTGTCACCTGATTCACTGTGAAGAGCCACATGGACTTCAGAACTCCATGTTGACGACACTGGAGGTAGGCATTCGGGAATCCTCAGGGGGATGTGACCAATGGATCCCAGAGAGGACAGGCCTCCCCCTCCTCTTCGTCTCCAGAGGGATGCACAGTCAGGGGAGCTTGCCAGAGACTCCAAACCTGGATGGAACAGAACACCTGGATGAACAGTCCCTGCGATACCTTGAATCTGCTAAGAAGCCTTAGGACATTGTTGGTAGCTATAAGCAGATGATTCCATCTGCTCAGTATCTCTGGGTAGCCTCTCAGTGATCCCCCCTTGAAACTCCTTTTTTTTTTTTAAGACGGAGTGGTGCGATCTTGGCTCACTGCAACCTCTGCCTCCCAGGTTCAAGCGATTCTCCTGCCTCAGCCTCCTGAGTGGCTGAAATTACAGGCTTACAGGCATGCGACACCACGCCCACCCAATTTTTGTATTTTTAGTAGAGATGGGATTTCACCATATTGGCCAGGCTGGTCTCAAACTTCTGACCTCAAGTGATCCGCCTGCCTTGGCCTCCCAAAGTGCTGGGATTACAGGCATAAGCCACCATGCCCGGCCCTCTTTGAAACTCTTAAGGTATTGTATTTCATCCTATTGTCAAACTAAGAGTCCTGATTGGGGAAGCCAGAAAATATGTTTTAAACCCTCCAACGGCTGCCCAGTGCAATCAGAATCAAACCCGAGCTCTGTCCATAGCCTACGGGTTCTTCCTGATGTAGCATCATCTGTTTCCAACTGCATTTCCTCCCATTCTCCCTTTTCCCACTCCTGTCCACCCACAGTGGCCCTTCTGTTCCTCTAATGTGTCAGCGTGTCCCTGCCTCAGGGCCTTTGCACTTGCTGTGCCCTCCCCTTGGAATACTTTCTCCTCTAAATGTGGCAGGGCTTGGTCCCGCAGGGCAAATGTCGTCTCTTCCCAGAGGCCTTCTCTTCTCATTCTCCTGACTCCCCGTAATATTGCCCTGTTTTATATTATTCATAGCACTTATTTGTTCATGTTTGCTTATTTATTTATGATTTGTCCTCCCCATTAGAATATAAATGCCATTCCTGAAAGTAGGGATCCTGTCTACTTGGATCACCCCTCTGCCTCAGCATCCAGGACACTGTTTGGCACAGAGTGGCGCTCAACAAGTATTTACTCAATGAATAAAACATCTATGGGTCTCCCAGTTCCCCTTTTCTAGATCCCTTGCTCCCTGTCCCACCTTTCACCCTAGCAAGGTAATAAGGGCCATCTACTTCCCATGAAAAGGTTTAGCCTCCGTGAATATCTTCTTGTCTCTGGAGGCAGAGCCAATATTGTGGATATAGGGTGTCTATATCAGTCAGATGGTGTCTGACTTCAGTTTAGGGCACGATTATTGGCTGTTGAATGACTTCCTAATCCTGACCAGGCTTCTTGAGGGGGCAGCAATGGTGTCACTAGGGCCACTGATTAAAAATGACCCGCCAGTGAAGCCTCCTTTCTCTTTTGAAAAATTAGGTAACAAACCGGTCAGCAGCAGCATCTTCATATATCAAGAAAAGGTCATTATATAAATATTTTTCAAGAATTTGCAATCTCAACTTAATCCTCCTCTCGCCCCTCCCTCCATTATCCCACATTGCAAATCCTTGGGGGAAAATAAAATTCATATTCCAAAGTTCTCATCCACACATTTAACTCCTAAATCGAATGCTCGAAACTCTACTTTCGGATGCTTGTATTGGAAGAGGCTTCGGATTCTTTGTCGGAAGCAGGCCGTACATAATTCTGGAATAAATTTTTGCACGCGGGATGCATCTGAATGAATGAAACGCTTTTTAATCCTCTGCTCTGTACATCCCACTATGTCCCTTTGAAGGACCGCACCGAGACTTTTCGATGCTTGCGATGGTTCAAGTTGCGCCCCTGGGGCCCGTTACAGGACTGCACCGAAATGCACTCAGAGGAGCATCGCCTGCATCACTTGGACTGGAAGCCGGCAGGTGCACTTCGGGAACAACGTCGCGAGCGCTTTTCATCCCTGCAACCAACACACAGCGCAAAACGCTCTGGGACTGCAAGGGCAGGAGACTACACAGACCATGATGGGAGAAAAGAAAAAAAAATCGCGTTCTCTTTTTACCTGCCCAGACAATTCAGCAATCACAGCCGCATCATTCAGGTCCAGCCAAGCCAATCACCCGCGCAGCCTGGGCAGCATGTGACTTCCGATGCTTCCGGCCTCCTATTGGGTGGTTTCTTGGCGTCGCCGGGTCCGGCGCTAGGACCCGGGCACAGCTACGCCCGCAGCACTCACGCGATTGTCCGCCCCCTTTCCCGGCACTTAACCAATAGGAGGCCGCCGTTCCTTAGGGACCAATGGTGAGAAGATCTTGCGCGACTAGCCCTTGTCGCTGCGGAGCGGAGGCGGGGCGTAGGGCGGGGTCACGTGGGGCTGCGCCCAAGGCTGCCGGGAGCAGACTGGGCTGCGGGCGGCGGGGCCGGCGCCTGCCTGGAGGGATGGGGCTGCCGGGCGCGTAGGGGCCATGCCGCCCGGGACCCGGGCCTGCCGCGTTCCGCGCCCCGGCCGCCGCGCCCCACGTCCGCGCCGGGATGGTGAACCTGGCGGCCATGGTGTGGCGCCGGCTTCTGCGGAAGAGGTGGGTGCTCGCCCTGGTCTTCGGGCTGTCGCTCGTCTACTTCCTCAGCAGCACCTTCAAGCAGGTCAGTGGCCGCCCTTCCCCTCCTCCCCTTCCCTTCTTCCTTCCTTCCTCCCCCTTACTTTACTTTCTCCTTCCTTCCTTCGTTACCTTCCTCCTTTTTTCCTTCCTCCCTGTCTTCCTACCCCTTCCCTTCCTTTCTTTCTCCCCTTCCCTTCCTTCCTCCTTCCTTCCCTTCTTCCTACCTCCCCTCCTTCCTTATCTTCCTCCTTCCTTCCCCTCTCCCTGCCTCCCTTCCTTCCTTACCTTCCTCACCTTCCTCCTCCTTCCTTCCTCCCCCTTTCCTTCCTCCCCCTTCCCTTTCTTCTTTCCTCCCCTTTTTCCTCTCCCTTCCCTTCCGTCTTTCTTCCTTCCCTTCCTCCTTCCGTCCTCCTCCTTTCTGTCCCCCTCTCCCTTCCTTCTTCCTTTACTCCCTTTCTTCCCTGACATCCTCTTTCCTCACTTCGTTCTTCCTCCTTCCTTCCCTTCCTCCTCTTTTTCCTTACTCCTCGCGTTTGTCCGACCTCCCGACTTCTGCAGCGGCGCCGCCGGGGCGTCCGAGGGTGGGGAGAGGTGCGCATTCCTGTCCCGGTCTCAGCACGGGTGAGGGACCTGCCCACCGCCTTGGTCCCTGCAGCGGGAAGGGGTTGCTAGGCCAGGGCAGAGCTGGGACTAGAACCCCGAGTTGAGGACCCTTCAGCGGTGGGGACTGCTTTTATGAACACCTCCCTGCTTTTCACCTGCCCGGTCCAGAGCTAAGAGAGGGCGTGCATTTGCTGGCTTCATCTTCGCAGCAGGCCTGGGAGAAGTGGGGTTCCCAGTATTACAGTGGGGGAAACCAAGACATAGGTGGCGAGGGTCGGCCAGCCCTCGCATGGGTGCCCTTCGTTTAATTTGGGGGCTCTGTGTCCTCCTGGGTGACTCAAAAGGACCCACAGTTCCTTTTATGCTTTTTGTGCATAACTTGATTGGTAGAATTCCACCCCTCCAACACACTGCACCCTTTCATTTTTCTTCCATGTGAGAATTTCTGGGAGAAACAGCAAGGAGCACGGGTGGGGAAATCTTACCCAAAGCATTAATAAGTTTGTCTAGAAGTCCAGGTTGAGTGCTTAGTTGTGTAGAAAGGGTGGTTACACCCCAGGGTGCACCCAGGATAATGGGTTATGCTGTTGTCCTGACATGGTTATAAAAAGCTCTCCTTTTTACTCTCAAAGCTCAAGTGTGTAAATAAAATATATAAGTGAATAGAACATTGATAAAACTATGTGGTCACTCTACATTTAGTGGATTGGCAGGGGAGCTGTGAAAAGGGAAGAATAGGGAATTGTACGTGACCTGCCACCTTAGGCAAACAGAGAGGCTGAGTGTTGTAAGTCCCTTTTATTGGCCGGGATGTCTGGGCAATCATGTGACTACCAGACTTCTGTGACTTGTGTTTTCTGCCACCTCAGACACCTCCTCACAGTCGCGTGTTGTCCCTTCTCTGTCTTGTGACCCCTGAGTGGTGGGGTGCGCCAGGACTCCGTCCTCTGCCTTCCTCTCTATCTGACTCAGGTAATCTCTGGGCCATTGTTTAAATACTCAGGTGATCTCTGGAGGTATGCTGTTGATGCCAGTAGTTGATAACAACAGCCTAGATCTGTCCAGAAATCCCCAAATTCTTATATCCAATTGCCTAGTTGATATCTTTTTTTTTTTTCAATTTTTTTTTATTGTGGTAAAATACGACATAAAATTTCCCATCTTTTTTTTTTTTTTTTTTTTTTTTTTTTAAAGACTGAGTTTTGCTCTTGCCCAGGCTGGAGTGCAGTGGGACGACCTCAACTCACCACAGCCTCCACCTCCCGGGTTCAAATGATTCTCCTGCCTCAGCCTTCTTGAGTAGCTGGGATTACAGGCATGCGCCACCATGCCCAGCTAATTTTGTATTTTTAGTAGAAACGGGGTTTCTCCATGTTGGTCATGGCTGGTCTTGAACTCCCGACCTCAGGTGATCCACCCACCTCAGCCTCCCAAAGTGCTGGGATTACAGGTGTGAGCCACCACGCCTGGCCAGAATTTCCCATCTTAACCTTTTTTAACATGGAGTCTCACTCTGTTACCCAGGCTGGAGTGTAGTGGCATGATCTCAGCTCACTGCAACCTCTACCTCTCGGGTTCAAGCAGTTCTCCCTGCCTTAGCCTCCTGAGTAGCTGGGATTACAGGCATGCACCACCACACCCGACTAATTTTTGTATTTTTAATAGAGACAGGGTTTCGCCATGTTGGCCAGGCTGGTCTCGAACTCCTGACCTCAAGTGATCCACCTGCCTCGGCCTCCCAAAGTGCTGGGATTACAGGTGTCAGCCACCACGCCCGGCCCCATCTTAACCATTTTTAAAGTGTGCAGTTCAGTGGTATTAAATACATCCTTAACGCTGTGCGACCATCACCACCATCCATCCCCATAACGCTTGTAGAAACTGAAACTTAATATTCATTTAACAATAACTCTCCATTTCTCCCTTTCCCCAGCCCCCGGCAACCACCCTCCTACTTTCTAGTTGACGTTGAATGTGTTCGTGTTTGGACCAACAGAACTCTTGATTCTCTGCCAGCACTTGTTCCTCCCCGAGTCTTCCCAGTCTCGCTCAGTGGCATTACTGTTCACCAGGTATTAAAGCCACTTCATTCTTTTTTTCTCCTCTCACTCCCTATATCCACAATATTGGCTCTGCCTCCAGAGTGTATCCTGAATCTGCTCATTTCTTCAGAGTGTCACTGCTGTCACTCTAGGCCAAGCCACTGGCATCTCTCGTCTGGACCACTGCAGTAGCCCAGCTGCAAGTCTCTGCTTCCATTCTTGTCTTCTTCTCTTCCCCGCAGTAGGGGTGATAATCTTTAAAAAGATGGGATCATCATGGCATTTCCCCAGGTAAAATTCTCAGATAAAACTCTGGATTGTCTTCCAGGATCTCTGCATGGTTGAATCTTTTTTGTCATTTCAGGTCAGACTGTTACTGCTTCAGACCATACCTGGTGACACGGTGTAAATTACTTCAATTCCTTGCTCATAAACCTGCTTTATTTTCTTTGTGGTAGGCATCACAAACTGAACATTTCTTGTTCATTTACTTGCTTATCTGTCTTGCCTCACTCTCTCTTCTAGACTATAATATTCTTGAGAACAGAGACCTTGTCTGTCTTGTTCATAGACTCTCCAGCCCCTAGGATACTGCCAGCCACTTCATGGGAATCCAAATATTGATTGAACAAACAAGTGAGTCTTTTTAACTGGGATGAATGTTTCTTTTCAGTCTGGCATACTTCTGCTAACCTTTCACCTCTTGGCTCAGGTGCTGTCCACTCTGTCACCTTCCCTACAACCACCTTTTCACTACCCTGATACATCATCTTCATTTTAAGATTATAGTCATGCGTCGCTCAAGATTCTGAAAAATGCATCTTTAGGTGATTTTGCTACACCCCTGGGCTATGTGGCATAGCCTATTCCTCCTAGGCTCTAAGCCTGTACAGCATGTGACTGTACTGAATACTGTAGGTGATTGCAACACGATGGAAGGTATTTGTGGATCTAAATAGATCTAAACATAGAAAAGGTACAGTAAAAATACTGTATAAAAGATATAAAATGGGCTGGGTGCGATGGCTCACGCCTGTAATCCTAGCAGTTTGGGAGTCTGAGGCAGGCAGATCACTTGACGTCAGGAGTTCGAGACCAGCCTGGCCAACATGGCAAAACCCCATCTCTACTAAAAATATAAAAATTAGCCAGGTGTGGTGGCACACGCCTGTAATCCCAGCTATGCAGGAGGCTGAGGCAGGAGAGTCGCTTGAACCTGGGAGGTGGAGGTTGCAGTGAGCCGAGATCACGCCACTGCACTCCAGCCTGGGCAACAGAGTGAGACTGTGTTTCAAAAAATATAAGAGTAAAAATGGTACGCCCATAAAGAACACTTACCGTGAGTGGAGCTTGCAGGACTGGAAGTTGTTGCGGATGAGTCACTGAGTGAGTGGTGAGTGAACTCGTGAAGGCCTAGCACATTACTGTGTACTACTGTCAGCTGTCCACACAGGGCCACACTACATTGATTTGAAGATTTTTCTTTAATAATAAATTAACATTGGCTTACTGTAATGTTTTTACTTTATAAACTAATTTTTTTAACTTTTTGGCTGTGTTTAACACTTAGCTGAAAACACAAACACATTGTAAAGCTGTACAAAAATATTTTTCTTATTTATATCCTTATTCTATATGCTTTTTTTCCTGTTTTTCTATTTTGTTTTATTACTTTTTAAACTTCTTTGTTAAAAAGTAAGATGAGGCCGGGCGCAGTGGCTCACGCCTGTAATTCCCAGCACTTTGGGAGGGCCGAGGTGGGCAGATCATGAGGTCAGGAGATTGAGATCATCCTGGCTAACACGGTGAAACCCTGTCTCTACTGAAAATACAAAAAATTAACCAGGCTTGGTGGCACGCGCCTGTAGTCCCAGCTACTCAGGAGGCTGAGGCAGGAGAATCGCTTGAACCCAGGAGGCGGAGGTTGCAGTGAGCCGAGATCGCACCAGTGCACTCCAGCGTGGGCGACAGAGACTCCGTCTCAGAAAAGAAAAAAACTAAGACGAGCACACACGTTAGCCTAGGCCTTCACAGGGTCAGGATCACCAGTATCCCTGTCTCCCCCTCCACATCCTGCCTTCTTCTGTGTCCTTCAGTAACACTTAAAACGCTTTTTTCAGATAACCTTACAGATTTATTCCCCATCTTTATTACTGTGCTGTATATTTCCCTGACTAGTGGTTGAAGATGAACATCTTACTGGTTTTGGTAATTTGACTGTTGTGCATCTGAAGTGGCCTTATCATGTCCTTTGACCATTTTACTATTGGATGTCTCTGTCACTTTGTAGGAATTCCTTGTGCTTAGGGCTACTGTTTCTTTGTGATGGCTCAGGCTGGGACTCTGATTCAGGGCCACCTGATTTTAAAGCCCACATTCTCAATTTGTAACCATCATGATAGAGATGAAATGGGTAACATACAACCTTGGTTTTGCTTGCATGGTTTTTATTGTTTTCTTGTTTTGTTTTGTTTGTTTTTTGAGATGGGGTCTCACTCTGTCACCCAGGCTGGAGTGCAGTGATGCAATCTCAGGTCACTGCAACCGCCTCATCCCAGGTTCAAGTGATTCTCCTGCTTCAGCCTCCTGAGTAGCTGGGATTACAGGCGTGCACCACCATGCCTCGCTAATTTTGTATTTTTAGTAGAGACGGGGTTTCGCCATGTTGGCCAGGCTGGTCTCGAACTCCTGACCTCAGATGATCTGCCCGCCTCGGCCTCCCAAAGTGCTGGGATTACAGGCATGAGCCAGTGCGTCCAGCCTTTTGTATTTTTAGTAGAGATGGGGTTTTACTAGGTTGCTCAGGCTGGTATTGAACCCCTGAGCTTAAACAATCCACCCGCCTCGGCCTCCCAAAGTGCTGGGATTACAGGTGTGAGCCACTGTGCCTGGCCGGTATTTTTAAAAAGGGATTAAAAATGTATGAGATTTTATATAAATCCTTTCTTCTGGCTTCTCTTGAAATACCAGGATACTTGTCAGCACTGGGTCTATGTCTGCTCCAGCAGCAGTTGGGGAACTAACTGAGCCAAGCTGCAGTCCTTTAGATCTTGGGATCTGCCCTCCACTGGACCACTCAGTGACTCATTATGTCCTTGCCTGATCTCCTGGGGTAGTAGTTAGCAGGGTTGTTCACAAGGAGTTGGTCATCCTCCTCTGGGTGCATGGTGGGATTGGCTCCCACCCTTTTGGAAGGAGGGTGGCTGTGTGGCCTGCATTGGCTTATACAATGTGAACTGTCACTTGCAGGCAGAAGCCGTGGTGACCGTGGAGGACATGTGCTGAGAGGGGGCCTCATTCAGCCTGAGGGACTAGGATGAGCAGAACCCCTCGGCTTACCCATGTTAGACTTGTAGCATGAGCAAGAAACAATCTTCTGTGAAGCCACTGAGGCTTAGGGTTTTTTTTTAACTTGGTTTTGTTTATTTGTTTGTTTTTGGTACAGGGTCTTGCTCTGTCATCCAGGCTGGGGTAAAGTGGCACCGTCATAGCTCTTTGCAGCCTCGAATTCCTAGGCTCAAGGGATCCTTCCACTTCAGCCTCTCAAGTAGTTGGGACTACAGGCGTGGGCAACCACACCCAGCTAATTAATTAATTTATTTTTTTGGTAGATATGGGCCCTCATTATTTTTTCCAGGCTGGTGTCCAACTCCTGGGTTTAAGCAATGGCCTGGCTCAGCCTCCCAGAGTGCTGGAATCATAGGCATGAGCTACTGCACCCAGCCTTTAGTTTTTTATAATAACCTAACCCACTGGGTTCCAAAATGTGGTCTGTGGACCCCAGAGGGCCCCTGAGACTCTGTCAGGGGATCTGCAAGGCCAGAATTCTTTTCAGAATAACGACAAAATGTTATTTGCTTTTTTCACCTTGTTGACACTTCCACTGATGGTGCAGAAGTCATGGGGGGTCAAGCCAGTACCTTAGCAAGGGTCAAAGCAGCGGCAGCAGACTGTGCTACTAGTTGTCGTATTCTTCACGGCCATACTTGTAGTTTTTTTAAAAAGTACTAATTTCACTTAAGAATAAAGCAGTCAAAATTATTACTTTTGCTAAATTTTGATCCCCAAGTACATATCTTTCCTGTAGAATGAAATGGGAAATATGCCTAACAGTACGTTCTGCCTACAGAAATATGATGGGTGTCTTGAGGAAGAGCTTTGGCAATTGAGCTGCAAGCTTAAGTAGCCACTTTTTTTCATGGAACACTATTTTTTCTTGAAAGAACAACTGATACACTAGTTATTCAGATTTGGGTATTTGGTAGACATTTTCTTGAAAATGAAGTGAGCTTGTTACTTTACAGAAAACATCTGACATTATTTGCCAATGATAATATTTAAGCTTTCAAGTGAAAATTAGAATTTTGGAAAATGCGTATCTGCTACGCTTAGCTTGTAACTTTCTAACACCTAAAGATTAAATCCCTGGTGATATTAACAAGTGTGATTTTTTTTAGTATTGTATAATGAAAATGTGTCAATTAGAAGATCTGCGTAAGATCTGTTCAATGTGCAACACAGACTCATGGATCTGAACAGTTTATGAAAAATTCATTGATATGGTTTCAGATGCCACATTGTGCTGAAGGAACTGGGTTTTTTGGTAAGTTTTATTGAGATATAATTCACATATCATACAGTTCACCCATTTAAAGTATGTAACGCTTGTTTGTAGTATATTCACAGGCTGGGCATGATGGCTCAGCCTGTAATCCCAGCACTTTGGGAGGCTGAGATGGGTGGATCACCTGAGGTCAGGAGTTTCAGACCAGTCTGGCCAACATGGTGAAACCCTGTTTCTACTAAAAATACAAAAATTAGCTGGGTGTGGTGGCAGGTGCCTGTAATCCCAGCTACTCGGGAGTCTGAGTCAGGAGAATCACTTGAACCTGAGGTGGAAGTTGCATTGAGCCAGGATCCACCACCGTACTTCAGCCTGGGTGACAGAGCAAGACTGTCTCAAAAAAAAAATTAAAAAGTAAAAATAAGGCTGGGCGTGGTGGCTCACGCCTGTAATCCCAGCACTTTGGGAGGCCGAGGCGGGTGGATCATGAGATCAGGAGATTGAGACCATCCTGGCTAACACAGTGAAACCCTGTCTCTACTAAAAATACAAAAAATTAGCCGGGCGTGGTGGTGGGTGCCTGTAGTTCCAGCTACTCGGGAGGCTGAGGCAGGAGAATGGCATGAACCTTGGAGGCGGAGCTTGCAGTGAGCCGAGATTTGCGCCACTGCACTCCAGCCTGGGCGACAGAGCGAGACTCCGTCTCAAAAAATAAATAAATAAATAAATAAAAATAAAAACAAAAATAAAAAAGTAGTATATTCACAAACCAGTAGTTTTAAAACATTTTCATCATCATCTTCCCCCTGCCCCTCAGTCCTAAGCAATCAGTAATCTACTTTGTTTCTATAGTTTTGCCTATTTTAGATATTTCATATAATTGGCATTCTATAATATGTGGTCTTTTTTGATTGGCGTTTGCATTTAGCATAATGTTTTCAAAGTTCATCCATGTCCTAGCATGTATTAGCACTTCATTTTTATGTCCGAATAATATTCCATCGTGTGCATCTGTCACATTTTGTTTATTCATTCTTTATTGAGAGACATTTGGGTTGTTTCCACCTTTTAGTTATTATGAATAACGCTGTTGCAGACATTCATTTACAAGTTTTCATGTGGACATGTTTTAATTTCTCTTGGTATATTCCTAGGAGTGGCATTACTGGGTCAGATGGTAAATCTGTGTTAAACTTTTTGAGGAACTGCACAACTGTTTTCCAAACTGGCTGCACTGTGTGCAGTGAACTTTTAGGAACCTGCAGCTGTCAAATTCTGGTGTAGTATTTAGTGTCAAGTATGCTTTAGTATTATCCATAATTTTCTGCAAAAGTTGTTAAAGTAGTCCTCCCTTTTCCAATTACACATTTGTGTGGAATAGATTTTCTTGGTGTATTCCAACCCAGACAATATATTGTGACAGATATTGAATATAGAGGTCGCTTCGGAGATTCAGCTGTCTTCCATCGAGGGAGACATTAAAAAGGTTTGCAGAAATATAAAAACATTGCCCCTCTCCTTACTATTTTTTTAAGTGTTTTTTCACAAAAAACTCATGTACCGAATTCATTGTTGTTATTTTTAAATGAATAAAAACGATCTAAAATAAACATTTTAAGGATTTATGTTTTAATTTTCAATATGGTAAGCATCAATAGCCATAACTCACATAAACCCACATATTGAGGTCCTCAGTAATTTTTAAGATTAGAAAGGGTTCCAGGACCAAAGGCTTTTGAGCCCCGCTGTCCTGGGTGCTCTGGCAGAGGCGCTCCTGCATGCGTCTGACTTGGCCGTCCCTGCTCAGCTGGCCTCAGTTTGGGTGGTCTTCCACTCCCTAGCTGTGGGCCTTGAGGGAGTTGGGGTTCTTCCTCTGTAAAATGGAGATGGTGAGATGGAGTGTACGGGTCCAGGGTGTGTACCGTTGATGGAGAAGACGCTATGAACACTGTGAAGCTCCCCGTGCACCTTAGCTCCGCTGCGGTGAGACTGGAAACTCATGGCGCAGATGCGGCAGCTTTTGCCTGGAGAATAGTTGATTATCCTCTCTGCTGCTTTGAATTCCTCTTTTCTTTGGTTTTCATGTTAATTAATGCTATGGGGGATAACTTAAATTGTAGAGATGGGAGGCAGAAGAAATCAGTGATGATGGTGGGGATGCCATTGAGGGGAGGGTTGGGAATGGTGAATGGTACCAGGTTTCTTGGGTGCATTTATTTAACAAATAACACCAACTGTGTGCCAGGCACTGTTCTGCTGGATGGCAGAGACAGAGTGGGCAAAGCAGATGACGTCTCTCCCCTCCAAGAGCCTATATTCCACTAGCGGGTAAGGAGGAGAGATAGTAAATAAGCAAAATGATTTCAGATAATGATGTATGTTATGAAGAAAACAAAACAGGATGACATGATCTAGTGGCAGGGCGGGCCTAACTATGCGAGGCATTTGACCTGAGATTAAACAAGTTCCCATCTTGGGAGTCAGAAGGGTCCTTAGAGTTCCTCTCGTGTAACCAGATGTTCTCATACGTGTTCAAGTGGTGCAGCTCCTGAAAGTCTCAGGGCTGTTTGCATAACTCCTTGAAAATCTACGAACGTGTTCAGCCTTAAAGGAGCTAAGTGTGTAAATTGGTGCCAAGTTAGATACTGTCTAGAGTGAAGTATATATCATATAATATGAGACTTGCTAATTTGGTGGGGATTTTTTTGTTTTGCACTGATTATTAAGAGAGAGAGATATATATATATTGCAGAATGTTTGTCTCGTATTGCACAGGGTAGAGGAGAGGAACAGTTACCCATAATCTCACTAACCAGAGGCATCCACTGTTCATATTTGGGCATATTTTCTTCCTGCCATTTTTCATCCTTCTTGTTTGTATAGTTGAGGCATACTGTTTCTTCATTTAACATATAAGCATTTCCCTATCTTTAAAAGCTCTTTGGAAATAGGATTTTTATAACTAAAAATTTCCATTATCAGGCTGCATTTAGCCATTTCCCAAATACTAGACATTTGGAGTACCCTCTGGCCTTTCTCCCCCTCCCCTCTTTTTCTGAGGTTCATAAGAGTGCCTTATGTTTCCGTGCTTTACTGCTTACATGGGACATTTATCTCACTTGACCTGTGATAACTCCTGAAAAGTACACAGCACAGTTATGAATACAGCCCTTCTGAAGTGAGACACAAAGCAACGCATTAGTAATCACAGTGTGTTTCTGTAGCTCTTTACAATTAGGAAGAAAGCCCTCATGTACTTTTGGCTCCTGCTCTTCTCTTTGTACCTAGTGCACCCCATGTGGACATGTGTCACAGCATCTGCAGTGCCTGATCGCACTGATATATGGAGGTACCCCTTTCTCAACAGCTCTGAGGCTCTTCGAATACAGAACCAGACTGCCGTTCATCTCTGCATCCTTAGCATTCTGTAAGAACTAGATATCTTTGAATGAATTTCGAGTGAAAAAATATAAATATGAAGAAAAGCTTAAAATTGAGACAACCTAATAGGGTAGGTGAAACAGTTCAGGAAAGGTAGAAAGCTCCCTATCCTGTGAAGGAATGTCCTCAGCACCCTTTGCAAGACTGGGCCTTCAAAAAAGCAAACATTGCTAAGTTATTTCTGCCACATGCTTTCACTGTCCTTTTGGCAAGGTCTTGAATATTCGTGTTTGGAAACGCATTGAAGTGCTGGGAGAATTGCTTTCCTGTTTACCAGGAATGTCATGATGTGGCAGGGGTCCTTCTGGGATGCACTTGACTGTGAACTCTTGTTTTCTTTTGGAAGAACAACAGGATAGCGTGGGAGTAATGTTAAGAGCACTTTTAACCTTGTCGTAAAATCCAGTTTACTGTACTTTGACCAAGCTCTTAATAATCTTTATGGCTATTAATTTATCTAGGGTAGCATTTGCAGCTCAGTTTAGTTTGCACATAGCTTGATGGATGCAGTTAACTGATAGGGTCCCAGTAGAGCAGAAGAGTATGAATTTACAGGTAGTTAAGCAGCATGCACCTAAGTGATTTGTCCCATACTCCCAGGGCTCCTGCACCTAGCTCCTCTTCTTGCAATAACTGAGGAATACAGATGTTGCTTTTGTATAACCGCCCCCCTCCCGGTCCTGCTAGTACCAGTTCTTTCTTTGCAAAGAAACAAAAGGGAGGGAGCAGAATAGAAATTAAAGCCACCTTGAAAGACGGTAAATTAAAGAACAAAATCCGCTACTGGTGGGGTTGTGGTCAAATTGTAAACACTGTTATTTAAATGCTGGTACTATTACAGGTGGTAGATGTAATGTGGGACATTATTTGGCACTACATAGCATTTTACTACAAGTTATTCAAGAGAATTGTTTTAAAAGCTCCACATTTTATTGCAGTATTATCTATGATAACAAAAACCTGGGCCTAATATTGATCTATAGAGGATGTGTTTACTAAATGATGGCACATCAACATGATGGATTATTAGATGGCCTTGAAAATGTGATTATCAAGATAATGTAGGGACTTGGAAATGTTTTACTATCCAATTAGTGTCAAGAAGAGCTGAATGCAAAACATCCTAATTTGTGTAAATGTTGAGGTCAAAAGCTAGAAGTTAATATGCAAAAAGAAATAGAATTTATTTAAGTTGATGGGATTATGGACAATTTTTGCCTTTAATGTTGGTAATCGTGTTTTTCAAACAATTTTTTGAATAATTATATATTTACAGAAAAGTTCTTTTTTTTTTTTTGAGACGGAGTCTCACTTTGTCGCCCAGGCTGGAGTGCAGTGGCGCAATCTTGGCTCACTGCAAGCTCCGCCTCCCGGGTTCATGCCATTCTCCTGCCTCAGCCTCCTGAGTAGCTGGGACTACAGGCGCCCGCCACCACGCCCAGCTAATTTTTTTGTATTTTTAGTAGAGACGGGGTTTCACTGTGTTAGCCAGGATGGTCTCGATCTTCTGAACTCGTGATCCGCCCGCCTTGGCCTCCCAAAGTGTTGGGATTACAGGTGTGAGCCATGGCGCCCGGCCAGAAAAGTACTAAGTATAATAGAAAGTTCTACAGAATCTTTACTTAATTTCCTTCTGTTATTAATAATCCTGTTTTTAATGTTATCACTTTATTTTAAATTAAAAATATTCCCAAAATGATTAAAGATAATTTTAATAACCACATACGTCCCTCCCATGTTAGTAGTCTGTAGTATAGTAGTTCCCCCTTATCTGTTCTGAGACCCTCAGTGGATGCCTGAAACTGCGGCTAGTACCAAACCCTATCCATACTGTTTTTCCACCTGGTAACTGAGTGACTACTAAGTGACTAACATGGATATGCTGGATAAAGGAATGATGCACAGCCCGGGCGGGACGGAATGGGATGGCGTGAGGTTGCACCATGCTACTTAGAACAGTGCTCAATTTAAAACTTAGGAACTGTTTACTTCTGCAGTTTTTTATTTAATATTTTTGGACCACAGTTAACTGCGAGTAACTGTTAAACTTCAGAAAGTAAAACCATGGGTAAGAGAGACTACTGTATATCTTTCCATACCATTATCTTAGCTCTTACAAACTTATATGTGCATATTATCATAATTATTATCATAATATGTGTGATAGGCACATTATTCTGCAACTTGCTTTTTCCCTTGATAATACACTATAGGCATGCAGTGGTCTGCAACCCTGTCTATGTATTAAAATCATCTAGGTACTTTAAAAATACTGATTCCCAGGTCTCCACAGATTTTCCTGCCCATAGGTGGGCTTAGGAATCAGAATTTGTTTTTATGCTCCCTACATTAATCTAATGTGCAAAAGTCAGTTTGTAGAGCTGCTACTCTAGTTAAATAGCTATCAGTCGTATCTCAGTTTGGTTGTAACAGTATTGTTATACCAGTGTTCATTCAGTCATTTCTCTGTTATTGGGGTTTCAGGGGTTTTGTTTGTTTGTTTTTGAGATGGAGTTTTGCTCTTGTCACCCAGGCTGGAGTGCAGTGGTGTGATCTCGGCTCACTGCAACCTTTACCTTCTGGGTTCATGCAATTCTACCACCACGCCCGGCTAATTTTTGTATTTTTAGTGGAGATGGGGTTTCACCATGTTGGCCAGGCTGACCTTGAACTCCTGACCTTAGGTGATCCACCAGCCTCGGCCTCCCCAAAGTGCTGGGATTACAGGCATGAGCCACCACACCCGGCAGGTTTCAGGTTTTTTATACCATCGAAACGATCATGTAGTAAACATCCTTGTATTTCCCTATACATTGGTGTTTTCCATAGGACAGACCTGAGTTTCCTGGGCCAAAGTGTATGTAGACATATATTTTTAAAATACGAACAGAACTTCCTAGATTACTTTCCTAGATAAATTTTAGTAACGATAAAGATCTTTACCATTTTTTAAGTATATAAGCTTCTTCATCAAATTTTCAAGATTAGTCCCTTTTGCTTAAAAAGCAACACATGACAGGTTATTTTGAAAGGTAAAAGCCACAGAACTCCGTTAGAACAGTGAATGTTTCAAGTCCATCATTGTTTTATTATCCAGTAGCTTACTGAAGCGTTCAGAAGAGGCCGTCTCAAGCTCGGCTTGTTTTCTAGCACTTAGGCAGCTTCCTCTTTAGTTTTTTTTTTAACAGTATAGAAAAGATTATAACAGTATAGAAAACAGTATAGAAAAGGCAGTTTTGTAAGCTGGCTCCTAGCGGACATAGCTTCAAGACCAGAAGAGATGATCTTCAACTCTTGACTCCAGGGCAACTCTTCCAATTGCTTGTCCGGGTAGAGGGCTGGCCGGCCTGGGTGTGTTCCGTAGCGGGTTACATACTCAGTGGTCCTTCACAGAAGAAATTCACAAGTTGACATGCTTCATTTTGCTCCTAAAATCAATGTCCTAATTCACGTTTTCCCAAACGTCTTCCACCCAAAGTACCTGTAACTGCAAATGAAAGGGATTTTGTGCTCTAGATGTCTGAGATGAGAGTCACGAAAGTTTCTTCTGCTCTTTAAAAAGTGTATTCACATTTTAAGTTCTGTTCCACAATGTATTTGTTTTAATGTGAAAAATATTTTAAATTACTTGCCATCAGAAAGAAAAAGTCCAAAACTTTTCCTCTCCAATTTTTTCATAAAATTAACACTTTTATACACATTTATGATGTGCATGCCATCCAGGAGCCACGCATGTAAGTATGCCAGTTTTCAAGCATAGCACTAGCTTATTACTTTTTCCTACAGGTTTATTTTATGACTTTGGCTCAGGCTTTGCTTGTACCAGGAGAGGGCAGATTCTGGTAGTGTAAGCCTTTTATAGTATTTCTGTCCTCTTACTGTAGTTTCTGTGAAAAACTGGTGAAATTGTAAGAAAGGATACTGGATACTTAACCTTCTCACTTATGGTTTCTTTGCAGGAGGAGAGGGCAGTGAGAGATAGGAATCTCCTCCAGGTTCATGACCATAATCAGCCCATCCCGTGGAAAGTGCAGTTTAACTTGGGCAATAGCAGTCGTCCGAGCAATCAGTGCCGCAACTCCATTCAAGGGAAGCACCTCATCACGGATGAACTCGGTGAGGCTGGCTTCCCTTCCTCTCCAGGCGGTCAGGAGCGTAGGCTGGTTGGGCCATTCATAGGGTTTTTGTTTGAATAGGGATTCCTCTGCAACACATTTTCTCTCCTCGCTCATCTCCAACATTCCCCAGGTTTTTGTCTTCTATACCCTACTCATCATTCAAGGTTCCCTTCAACATCAGAGAAGCTTGTTTTGATAACTCTAACTCTTAAAAGTTCTTTCTGCCTACAACTTACAACATGAGCACTGTGTCACGCATCAGTCCCCAGGCCCCTTCTGACAATCTCTCCCCAGCCTCACTATTTCCCCATCTTGCCAATCTTTTTTTCTCATCTCGAGGGTGAACTCTATAGGATAAGAGCTCAGTTTTCCTTCTTGGTAACCTGAGTAAAATTCACATTGTGTTGACACTCAAGAAATGTACTTGTTGACTGACCAGAATGCATTCCCAACTCAGCAGTGATGCCAGTGACAAGCTATATTTTTCAGATCACATTGAAAAAGCAAATCATATTGAAAATAATGTGGGTTTTGTTTTTTAATAAGCAGAGTGAAGTTTAGCAAAAGGAAGTTACTTCCATAAGATGACATAGTCAGTGGGCAGACATTGACTTGGAGTTCAGGGCTTCTTACAGGATGTGTGACATTCAGTGAGAAAACATGAAATCTTACACTCTCACTTTAATGTTTTAGTGCTGGGTTGTGAGCACAGTTTGTCATCTTTTATCATAGCTAGTGAAAGAATATTCTTTTGATTAATTTGGGTAAGACAGAGACTCTTGGACTCTTTGAGTAAAAAATTCCAGGAGTGAAGGAATCAATCAATTAATAAAAATCCAAGAGCTATAGGTTTTATTTTTCTCCATGAGTATGGGTGAAGTAAGTAGTTTAGTAAAGAAAGCATGTAAGAACTTACGCTTCTTAGCAAGCAGATGCCACTGTGAATATTGCCGGGGTAACACATTATTAAATAAGATCATTTGCATTTACAAACTTTTCAAAGGCTGGAAGTTAATTTTCAAGGCAATAGCAACACAGTATGAGGTTGTGATCTTACAGGACTCCTTGTTGGAGATAACGTTTGAGTTAGTAGATGTCTGATACAAGATGAGAGTTCTTGATGAGCTTGCTTTCACCAAGCTAGAAAGAGCTGCATTTCAAGGCTGAATACTGTAAGTTGGCAGTGGGGAAAAAAAAGGATGCCTGAGATGCTGACACTTACAAGATGAAAAGTAAAAGGCAGAAAGAGAATTTCAACTGGCAGAGTTTAGGTCACATTATATACAGTTGCTATGTGTTTATTATTTTGAGCAGAATTTTGAGGAAAATGCTAACTAACTTAATTACATTTTGTGTTTGTTTCTAGTCCCTGAAAAGAAAATGAGTAGAAATAGGAAGAATCCCAAGAAACATTTACTATAGCATTAGAATCATCCTCTCTTAATTTAGAAGACAGAATAACATAAACAACAACTACCACAAAAGGCACCGATTCCCAAGTATCTGGAACCCAGTTCTCTATAGACCTCATTTGCCCAAGTCTTAAGTGAGGGCCCTTTTAGTTTCTTTGTTACTGTTGTTCTACTGGTGCCTCCTGCTTTTGAACAGACTTTGTTTTCTAAAGTAGTTTCTGAAAACAACCTTATACTTCAGCAAGTCTCCTTCTCTGAGGATGAAGAAGCTGGGGTGTTTGGAATGCAGTGATGTGGGGAGCAGCTGCTCTGCACCTGTGGGCCTGAACGTGCACCTGGGAGCTCATGTGTGCACCTGGGACTTTCCTCGGGGCCAGTGGTGGCCCTTGTGGACCTATCCTTACATTTTTCTGTCCCATTCCCAGAAGGATGTAGAGAAATGTCTGCTTAGCAGCTCTGAACAATACATTAGCTTTTGTAAGAAGATTTTTTCTCTAAAGTTGGCCATGAATGGGCTGGGTTGGAAGGGGCATGTGTATATAGATGATGAGATTTATAAGAAGTTGAGGGGGGGATTAAGAGGTTTTTTTCTTTCTTGAGTATTAGAGAACTGCATTCCCAAAGGCCAAAGGGTGATTGAGTCCGTGGCACGTACACGTATAAATCAGTTTATAAGGGTTAGATGTGAATATTTCTATTTTTGTAATCTCCAAATTAGTCAGTATGCAGCGAGCATCTGAAAGATATTTGTAAAGAGTGGTTTGTTTGTTAAATCTAGAAGGACCTCACTTTTGTGAATCAGTGCCTCGGTTTTTTTCTGTTTTAAACTTTTTGTTCAAAAAAGAATGACATTTTTCTTCAAGCACAGATGAGACGTTGGCTTGCATAGGTTAGAATAGGAGAACGTAGCCGTAGCTTGACCTGATGATGAAATCAGACATGTGCCAGCCGACTAAACAGTAGGTGTAGGTAGGTTCCGACGTGTAGCCTGGCGATAACAGGGGAGTGCCTGCTTCCTGGAAACGACTGCCTGGGGAAAGTAAGCCCCACTCACATTATGTCCAGTTTCCAGCTCTCCGGTGCTTAGGATGATGCCCCAGACTCCAGCTTCTGTCTGTGTACTTTCACTGCTGCTTCATGGTCATCCCTGGTAGGGAGGTGGCAAGGCTGCTGGTTTTATGCTAAGGTTGGTCTCTGACTTTCAGGCTACGTTTGCGAGAGGAAGGATTTGCTGGTAAATGGCTGCTGTAATGTCAACGTCCCTAGCACGAAGCAGTACTGCTGTGATGGCTGCTGGCCCAACGGCTGCTGCAGCGCCTATGAGTACTGTGTCTCCTGCTGCCTGCAGCCCAACAAGGTATGGGGAGTTGATCCTGGTTCTGCGGCTCCTTTTTTCTTTCGGCCTCTGTTTTATGATGAGCATTAGGCTCTTCATGTGAGATTCCTCTGAAAATAAAACTTAGAAAGGAGCTTTGTAGGTGTCAGAAATTGCTGCACAATAGCTTTTATCTAAGGAAAGGAGGTGGTTCCCAGTTGCTTGAATGGTTCTTTTGCAGAATGGATCATTGTATTGCTAATCACATATCTAATGAATAAGATACCCAGGGTGTTTTGGCATGCACGTGTGTGCACGCGTGTGTCCTTTCCCCTCCCTCCTTTTCTCCTCCTCTTCCCCCCTTCCCTGTATCAGCATTCTCTTAGTTTAGGAGAGATAGCCAAGGTCACCTTGTGCTGGCTTAGGTAATTTATTACAGGCACTAACTTTTGTTTCCATAGCAACTTCTCCTGGAGCGCTTCCTCAACCGGGCAGCCGTGGCATTCCAGAACCTCTTCATGGCAGTCGAAGATCACTTTGAGTTGTGCCTGGCCAAATGCAGGACCTCATCTCAGGTCAGAAGCTGTGATGTCTCTAGCTGTGGGATGGCAGCTGACGGGTTAGAAGGAAACTAGAAAATACACACTGTCGATCCTTTTGGTGGGGTGGTAAGGGAGAAGAGACTCGAAGCCGTGTCACGCTTTGTTTGGTGTGATGATAGTATTTAAAATGTCAACGTGAGATTTATACAAGTTAGGGGAGGTGAAGCATTTATATTAAATCAAGGTCTAATCAACTGGCATCTCTTCTATGTGGTTGGTACATTTGTTCCTTAAGTGGAAGCTTAAAATTATTTTTAAGTCTGGTAGAGTCCTAATAGTCAGCTTCTAAGAGAAGGCCCTCCTCCCTGTCTTTGAAATTTGACTAAGGCTTTCCAGTAACCACTTGTTTAGAGTAAGTAGCAATTTGTTCTGGGATGGAGTCGCTGTTTATTTTAGGATTCAAGGGGATGAGGCAGGTGAATGTTTAAAAATACACGAATAAATCTGTAGGCTGTCAGGCTCTCAATACATATTAGCGTGCTGTCATTAAATGCTTCACTCTTTTGGCATTAAATATTATTGCACCTGCTGCTGAAAGCATCTGAAAGTCTTTTGCCTTTTCATCACTGTCTCCTCGGCTCTCAGCTATTGTGGTTGGGCAGTTGTCATAGCTCTCTTTGTAAAATCACCAGACGTGTTTATTATACAAGCACACTTCTTCTGGCTCCTATTCATGGTGTCTCTAAGATTTTACTGGCTTCGTCTGAGATAACGGACTCATTTGTCATTCTCCAAAGCTCTTGTACCCTTTGCCAGATTTCTGTAGTCCACCTTTGGATTTTATGCCCCTTCTCATGTCTCTGGTTTGTTCTGCGAGCATTCAGTATCATTGGGTAAATGTTTCAGGGATTATAATGAGCATTTGAAAACATTAAGAAATTCCTGATGGTCTTGTTTTGCTTGAAGAGCTTTCCACTTGAATGAGCTTTAAAGGAAATGAGGAGGAAGGCTGAACACATGACTCATTTTGATTCAGATTCTCTCTCATTCTGAGAAACGCTAGAAAAGGCGAAGTATTTTCTTTCCTTCACTGATAAAACCCAGGAATTATTTCCAGTCTTCAGTGAAGCTACTATACTTTAGGACTTGGTCTTTTTTACCATAAAAAGATTTCCCAATTGCCATTTGATTTGTTTTGATAAAAGTATCCCAAGAAAGAGAAGACTTGGCTATATGTCTGTTAAATTGGATGAATATTTACAAGTTTGTTGCTTAGCATTGGTCTTGGACTAATTAATGAATTCTAGACTAGCCAAAAACCCAAGTTGCTTGTATGAAAACAAATTGCTGAAAAATTAGCCATCAGGAATGATTGTCTGCTTTAAATCACACTTCCAATTTGCTTAGCCAAATGAGGCTTGCATGGTATTGTAGGATTTGGCTCATGCCCCAAATTTTTAGGTACATAAACTTTATGAAAGCAATTTAAAGTGCATCTCCTTAGTGTCTCTGCAGGGTTCCTTACGGGAACTGAGTGAAGCTCAGGATCAGGTGCAAAACACCCATTGGATCTTAGACTGTTTCAAGTAATTTGAGGAAAAGTAGTTGTCTTGAGTCACCAGGTCACAGCAAAGTTATTTAAAAACTCACTGGTGTACATAAAAAGAAACAGTCCCACAGCGATGTTATGTCTGTGTTCATGCTCTTCATTGGCATTCTGGGTTGAGCATTCTTCTTTGTTCCAGAAAGTGCCCTGGAGCCTTTAGTGACATTTGGAGATGGACTCGGCCAGCCCCCTGCAGGGAGAGTCTGACAGTCCCGATCCACTCTCACTCTTCCGAGAGGGAGGTGTGTGAAGCTGTGCTCGCTCTCACTGCGCTCTTATTTTCCTTTTGCCAACAGAGCGTGCAGCATGAGAACACCTACCGGGACCCCATAGCAAAGTATTGCTATGGAGAAAGCCCGCCCGAGCTCTTCCCCGCTTGACGGGTGCAGCGGACTTGCTCCAGCCTGGGTGAGGAGGCCCCGCTGAAGAACTCGCCTCCTGGGACCCAGCTTCAGCCATCGGGCCAGGCTGCAGGAAGAAGACAAAGGCAGCGTGAGGAAACCTTGGCTTTGACCCCTTCTCGTGTTGTCATCTTTGGCTTCGCTCACCACCCGGGCTTACCAGATGGAACTCTTCTGTAAAGCAGCTTGGCCCCTCCAGCCAGTCCCATTCGGGAAAGATGAAACCGGAGGCCGGGCTCACGGTGGTGGTGGAGTTCTTGGATGACTCAGCCCTGGGACCTGCACAGGGACCTGTGACTTGTGTTCATCGGGGGCCGGTGTCACTTCCAGTTTTGATCCAGGCTCTTTCACTGTAAAATTATTTATTGGATTCCTTTGGAGTAATGGGAACATTCTAATGTTTTATGTAGGAAAATGCCTTGCCATTCTAGTTGAATATGTTCAAGGAAATTATTTTTGTTGTTGTTCTGTGTTCTCGAGTTTCAGGAGTTAAATCATTCTTCCACCCAGATACAACATTTTCTCTTTTAGGACGTGAATATTCTCTCTAGGCAGTTATTTTTGTTTGTATTTCGACAGTATCAAGCATAGGCCCTGAACGTGACCTGTTAGCCATATCCTGACGTGTAAAATTATCTAAAAACTCAGACACTCTTCCATTCTAATCTAACTGCACGATTTCTAACAGTGGGCACCATGTGCCTGCCCTCAGGTTATTTTCCAGTGGTAGTCGAATGTGCTCATATACCCTATGGAGAGCACTGTTTTAGCAGAAATCTAATTTCTCTTCCTGGAGGAATTTGTTCTCATTTCTTTTGCCACTTAAAATTAACTGTGGGCTACTCAGCCAGGGTACAGTGGGAGCCTCAGGAAGGTCAGAGGCAACCTCCTCCCCTGTTCTATCAATAGAAACCCAACGTTGAGGCAATTCCTAAACAGACGCACCTCGTAGCTTGCTGTATGTGTTTATTCTTTATTGCTTTCAGCTTTGGGGCTGTAACAGGTACAAATATTTGGTTTCCCTATGATTTATAGAGAAGAAGAAGAAACCCAGCTTTCTATCAGAGCACTGCAAGAGAAGAGTCTTACACCTGCCCTCAGTGGGAGATGAGAATGGTCATTATGACTTAGAGAATGCTACACGTGTAGGTTGCTGGTGTGTCCTGAATCCACAGGCATAAAGCACTCCCCATTTTTCCTACTGTAATGCAGATTCTCCGGCTCAAGGTCTAGAATATTTGATCCTAAGATCAAGACATCATGCCCTTCGAATAGTACTGCTCTTTGTTTTCAGGAGTCACGTGAACACACAACTCTCCTATATTCCTCACGAACCTCAGGATTGAGCAAGGTCTTTGTAATTTTTTTGGTTCACTTTATTGACCTGGGAGCAAGGTGCTAATTCTGTGGTCAGTATTCAATGTTTTTTTCAGTGGAGCTTTTTCTTTGGGCCATATTTGCCTTCTAATACATTCCTGCAATATGTAGTGGTGATTTCCCTTAGCTTCCTCCTACTACCTCTTATACTCATCTCCCCAAATTATTTGCCTCCCTTAAATAAGTTTTCCTAGAAGGTAAGCTGGTCAGGCAATTTGAAAAATATTAGATCCCAAGAAATCTATTCCGTTTGCATTGGACTTCTCGGATTCCATGTGTTTGCAGCAGGACTACATCGAACTCTGATGTGCCGGATTGTGGCATGTCTGCATGTCTCATCCATCTATTGTTTTTGGTAACTCAGTTTGGAATTTCAGTGTCTGTCTTCCCTGGGTTGACATTGGAATCAGCCTCTCCTTTGAGCTTATTTTAACTCTTGAGCAACATAACATAGATTTAATGTGAACAGTTTATACCAAAGGGCAGCCTGTGCCTGTTTATGGATCCTCTCTGCCTTTGTACTTGAAGAGCGCATTTTACATTTCCAGTCCTTTCACAGACAGGAGCTCCAACCTTACGATGGAGAATTAAACTTGCTTGTATTTCCACTTTGTGGATGAGGAACTATGAGAGGTGGAGTGACTTCCTGGGTCCCCGCTGAGACTTAGTGACAGATCCCAGACAAGAACTTCATCTCTGACTCCAGGTCTAGTCCTCTTCCCCCTGTCTCTTGCCAACTCCAGCCCTGACACCGTGGGCGTCTCCCCTGAGAGCAGATATATTTCAATTGTCCAGGCCAAAAGAGGGGCGAGGCGGCATAAACACCCAAATTAGGTGGAGGATCCAAAAGTCATTTTCATTTGGCTGTGGAATATGTTTTTTGTATTTCAATCAGCTAGGGGTGTGTTCACTGTTTTTGGAAATTCACAGCGCTTGAGCCTCCATAATGAAGCTGGGCTGCAGAGCACCTGGCACGTGCTCCAGGCTCCCAGCTCCCAACCTAGGACCTCTCCCTGCCCTCCACTCTGGTTGGTTTGTGGTTCCCTCGACCGAGGGTTTCTAGAATCAGGGACCTTGTCTAAGTTTTGTTTGCCCAGAGCCCAGCGAAGTGTGTGATACACCTTGGGAGTTTAGGAGATCACAAAAGGGATGAAAACACCTTTAGAAAACATTTCATTGGTGGGGCGTGGTGGCTTATGCCTGTAATCCCAGCACTTTGGAAGGCTGAGGCAGGTGGATCACCTGAAGGCAGGAGTTCAGACCAGCCTGACCAATATGGTGAAACCCCATCTATACTAAAAATACAAAAATTAGCCGGGTGTGGGGGCGTGTGCCTGTTTTTGTGAGACTCTGTCTCAAAAAAAAGAAAAAAATATTGTTAATAAGTGAGTGTTTTCGGCTCAAGGGAATTGAGTCATACGTTGCATCTCCCCCAGTTCTGCATCTTATTTGCTGCGCTTGCTGGAGTTGTAAAGATTGGTCCTAACAGGGAAAGAAGCACACAAGAGACTGTGAAAAGGGCTCTGAGACAAGCAAGGACAAAAGAGGGAGGGAAATACCTTCCACAGGGCCTGGGATCTGGCAATGCTAGAGCCTTTTTTTTTTTTTTTTTTTTTTGCGATGGAGTCTTGCTCTGTTGCTCAGGCTGGAGTGCAATGGCGTGATCTCAGCTCACTGCAACCTCCCCCTCCTGGGTTCAAGCAATTCTCCTGCCTCAGCCTCCTGAGTAGCTGGGATCACAGGCGTACACCACCACACCCAGCTAAGTTTTTGTACTTTTAGTAGAGACGGGGTTTCACCATGTTGGCCAGGCTGGTCACGGACTCCTGACCTCAGATGATCTGCCCGCCTGAGCCTCCGAAAGTGCTGGGATTACAGGCGTGAGCCACTGCGCCCGGCATGGAGCTGCTATTGATGGGTGAGCTCCACAGCTTTTGCAGAAGCAGAGGATATGACTTGAGAGCAGTGCTGTCACCTCTCAGCATGTCCCCAAGCCCAACTGGGGCCTCCTGGAGATGCCTCAGTCGGCACTGGCCCCAAGGGAATCGTGGGGAACAGTTGCACAATTTGCAAGTTTCTGAGTGCAGCTTTTCCCATCCTTGGGATCAGCAGATAAGTTGTAAACACAGGGAGGTACTGCTTATTGGATATACTTTTCATAAGTAGGACAGAATTCTTTTGGGACTCTAGAGTTGGGAACTACCACTTACTAGCGGCGTGGCTGAGGCAGTCTTCCTCCTCTGTGGCTCAGGCCCTTCATCTGTGAAATGGGGTCACAGCATCTGCCTCTCAGGGTCACTGTGAGGTGTCGATGTGAGCAAGGCCTGAGGCTTGGCAAGAAGTCAATGTCTGCAACTCAGCAGGGAGCAATGGCAGGGGCAGTCAGGGGTCGGCTCGGATAGGGGTGGGTGGGCTCCTGAGGTTGGAAGGGTAGGAATTACAGAGCTCTTGTTACTATTGTTGTTACTGTTTTTAAAGATACGATATTTCAGATAATTCAGGAGCACGTAAGGATGAAACTTAGGATAACCTAAAATCACACAACCTAGAGAGAAGCGCATTTTTGTCTTCCCCCATTTTCTAGGCAAAAATGAAAGTACTTTGTCCTCTTGAAAAACAATTCTCTAATGAATATCCTATGTTACATAGAGGCCTGTGTAATGCATTTGTGTGGCCACATGGTGTCAATTTCATGAATATACAATAATATTATTAATTCCCTGCTGAGGACATTAACTGGTTTCCAAGGCTGCTTGTTGTTTTTGCTACTACAAATAATGCATTGATGATAAATACTTTTACATACATGGTTGTATGTTTATCTGAACTATTTTCACCAATATATTCACCTAGTGTGTATGGAAGTGTCCATTTTTGTCATACCCCTGGTAACCCTGTGATATTATTTTTAAACATTTTGCTAATGGATCTCTGTTCTTGTTTGAATGTATTTAATTTCCAGCAGAATGAGCCCCATTCCTTATTTTGATTGGCCATTTATCATGTACATATGGTGAAATGCCTATTCGTGACTTAGCCAATGTTGTTTCTTTTTCTTACTGATTACTACAGTACATTTTTATATGAAAGCAGCCTTTGTCCCCTTCTCTTGTTTTTCAGCCCTGTGTTAGAAACAACTAAGCTCACATATTCACAAACCAACTTTTCCAGTTCATCTAGGGCAGTGGTGCTCAACAGGGGCAATTTTGCCCCCCAGGGAACATTTGGCAATGTCTGGAGACATTTTTGTCACAGGTGGGGAGGAGGGCAGTACTGTGGGCACTCGTGGAGGGAGGCCAGGGATGGTGCCCAACAGCCCCCACGACACAGAATTACCTGGCTGGAAGTGGGAGCCGGGTGGAGGGAGGGAAGCCCTGCTCTGGGGTCATATCTCCCCGTTAGATTGAACAGAGGAGCTCCTGGTAGCTGAGTGCTGACTTCATTATTTTTCCCCGCCCTTGCTTTCTACCCTGCTGAAGTGCTGCTGATTAAATTACCCTGAAATCCCCACAGGACACATTACTTCCTCACAGGTCTCTACTAGCCCAGCGCTGCCTCAAGGAATGGCATTATTCCTTTGCCACTGTGTCCTCACCGCACTCTTGGACTCCGCCGAATGCAGACACCCTCCTGTCTGCAGAAGGATCTGGAGGGGTAGAACGCTTCCCCTCTACGACGGATTGACTCCCCAGCACCTCACCAGCAGTTCTTTGAATGGAGTGGCTTTGGAGGTGGGAGTTGAGGAAGAAATGTGAGCCTGTCATTACAGGTTCTGTTTAGAAAACTAGTCATTCTACTAAAAAGGTATCACATAAGTAAGTAGGAGCAATAAAAACAAAGAAGATAGTGGGACTCCGAGAAGCTTTCCCCGCCTCTGGCCTGTTAGTCTATCGTTCGTTGGGCAAGGCTCTTCCAGTGTGTGACCTTTTGCGTGTTATCACAGCATGAGTGCAGTTTTGTGTACAGGCATCCCTATATTCAGCATGTATCTGCAACATGCCTTACCTCGTCTGCTGTCACAGAGCAAAGTGGAGCAAGTGGTCGCCGTTGGTCTGCACCTGAGCTGGGAGCCGAGTGGTGACGTGCATATGGGCCGACTGCGTCTCCACAGAACCTACTCAGTGATCTTCCTGTGTACGACTCAGTCCCTGATGTTGGAGTTGAACTGTAGGACTGTCTGTAAAATGAAAGTGCAGACTTTAATGTAGTAAAGAGAATGACTTGCCAGTTACAACCAATGAGCAAAGCAGTTAATTATTCAAATATTTTACCAAGAGTCCAGGTTTATTTTTTCTCAGGACTACACATTCTGTGAGACCAGAGGGACCAAGACATATCACTACCAGAAATGTGTTTTCATCAGCACTGCCAGAGGTTTTCATAGGGTAGTTTACTCTTGGAATTTTTAAATTCATACTTTTTTTTATGCAACGTGGGGTAGGTAAGCTTCTGATCACTGTGCACCCAGATTATCCCAAAATCGAAAGTGGTGTTGGCAGCCGGGTGTGGTGGCTCACACCTGTAATCCCAGCACTTTGGGAGGCCAAGGTGAGAGGATTGCTTGAGCCCAGAATTCGAGACCAGCCTGAGCAACATAGGGAGACCCTGTCTCTACAAAAAATAAAAAAAAGGAGCCAGGCATGGTAGTGCACACCTGTAGTCCCAGCTACTCAGGAGGCTGAGGCGGGAGGATGGCTTGAGTCCAGGAGGTCAAGGCTGCAGTGAGCCGTCATTGCGCCAGTGTGCTCCAACCTGGGCCACAGAGTGAGACCCTGTCTGAGGAGGGGAAAAAAGTGTTGTCTAAATGAGAAATCACCATTATCAGTAATTTAAGATTCCAGGCTATGTTGGTCACATCTCACTATTCTTTTTTTTTTGAAACGGATTCTCGTTCCATCGCCCAGGCTGGAGTGCAGTGGCACGATCTGGGCTCGCTGCAAGCTCTGCCTCCTGGGTTCACGCCATTCTCCTGCCTCAGCCTCCCGAGTAGCTGGGACTACAGGCGCCCGCCACCGTGCCCAGCTAATTTTTGTATTTTTAGTAGAGACGGGGTTTCACCGTGTTAGTAGCCAGGATGGTCTCGATCTCCTGACCTCGTGATCCGCCCACCTCGGCCTCCCAAAGTGCTGGGATTACAGGAGTGAGCCACCGCGCCTGGCCACATCTCACTATTCTTAAGGAAGAGAGAGAGCGAGAGAGAGTGTTGTCCTGTCCTGTGGGGATTGGGGCATTGTATTAAGTTGTACTGGGGGATGTCAAGATAGAAATGTTGAGTAAGTTACTACCTGAATAAATATTTGACCAGTTGATGCTAATTTGAATAGTAAATGTGATGACATTATATATTCTCAGGGATGTTTCCATACATTGGCTCTGTGTGTGCGTGTGTGTGTGTGTGTGTGTGTAACAAAAGCAGTATGAAGTATGTGAGCAATATCCTAATTTTATTGACAAGAGCACTGACCTTAATGACCTTGAGTAAATTACCCTCTCCGGCTTTGGTTTCCTCATTTGTCAATTAAGGGTGATGGCTAGCGTATCTTGCAGATCCAAATTCCAATTTTTGTAACAAGCCAAAAGTCCCCCTGGCTGTTAAAGCAAGACCAGAGCCCTCGTATCCCAGCGGCTGGGTCCCAGGCTTTTGATTTTCACAGGACAAATGTAGCCCAGCCATCTGGAGCCCGTTTTTCTCCAAACCAGGGCTTCCTCCTTCTCTCTTGCAGATTTCAACTGGGGCTCACCATTTTCTGCCTCTTCCTCCTCCAGTTTTAAAGAGACACCATATCCTTCTCTGCTGGGACCAACTTCCCATGTACTGCTGCCCTGCACCTGTGAAAACAGCTGCTGTGTTTTCTGTCATAAAAATAGCTGCCTTTTGGCAGAGAAGCACACAACGGTACTACGTTTCTGAGCCTTAATGCAGTGCTCAATTATTTAGGTGTGCTTCACCTGAGATACACAGAGCATCTTGGAACTCCTACTAAGCAGGGCTTCTACAGGCATTGCTCAGCTCAGTAAAAGGTTTTCCTTTCTCTGCTTTTGTGATTACCAGGCAGAAACCTTAAAATGTATGAACTTACAAAGAAATTAAATTGTGCCAAATTAGATTCCCAGCCCCTAGAGATAACCACTAATTAAAGTTCCGCTGGAGCGTTTTGCCTGTATTTTGTATATAAACGTGGATTTTGTATTTGTATGTAAATAAAGGTAGGACCCTGCTGTCCATATTATTTTAAAATAATTAGCTCCTGTTAGATTGATTTAATCCAATGATAGCGAATTCATTTGCAGAGCAGGCAAGCGCACTTTCCACTTCTATCATCCTGCCTGGAAGATTGAAGCCCAGTTAGAGGTTAAAACCCTTTCATAATTGCACAGGAGTTTAGCTTTGCCTGCTTTTTCCTTGTCTGATTTTATGCAGTGGGGAAGGAAGTCTTTTTGTTCTGCACAAATAAATTATAGGCATTTGTCGCGGCCGGAGTTGACCTGCATTAGGGATGCTGAAGAAACCTGTCACGGCAGGGTGTCTCTCGGCGTGACTCGACTTTCCTGAGAGAGCAGAGATCGGGAAAACTGCACTCCAGATCTCCTGAGCCTGTCATTTATTTTAGTGAATTGCTAAATGCAGAAATGTAAAATATAAAAAGGCTAGGGGAGGATCTGTGGACCGTCTTACTGGCTACCTGGTGTTGTAAGATTATTTGAGCTCAAGGCAGTCCACATTTCCCCCAGCACCAGCCAGCTCCGCCCTGTCAAGCTGCTGGTCTACATGGTGGTTTTCGAGGGTATAAAGGACTTCAGTTTCTAAAGATGTTCCTAAATGCTCCGTGGCATCTGCAGCAGGATGTCGGGAGCTGGAATCCACTGTGCTCTCTTCCCTAGGCACGTGCTGGACTCAGTTTCTCCCGGGAGGTTTGCATCTGGGCAGCACTTCAGGGCGTGCTCCTCGAGCTCCGTCCGTGGCATCCATACCTGCCTGGGCTGTGCCTGCAGCCTGCTAAATGCCAACCTGGAAGCCCAAGACAGATAGGCTTGGAGCAGCTTAGCAGCCGGCTGGGCTAATTTATTTGACACAAATCAGCTCATTGACCTGATTTAGCACGGGGAGGAACTACAGAGCCGAGTCACATGTGATCGTAAAGCCCTTTCTTCTCACTGCAGCCCTTTCAGACCTCGAAGGATGGCAGTGTAGTCAAATGACACTTGCGGTGCGATTTCAAGGGAAGGAGGAGAAGATGGAGAGATGGAAAGTGGAGAGCAAGGCAGCGCGGGTGGCACAGACACCGACAATTGCTTTCTGTGCCACTTGGTGGCACCAATGCCATAGGTTTTCTGTCCTCAATGTGATCGTTGTCTAGAGATTATGGGCCCCGTGCCTGCGTGGAGCTCTCTCTCCTGAAAACAATGAAGCTGTTTCTATAGATGAGAACCATCTGGTGGGGATGACAGATCAGGACTCTTTCCTGGGTCCGGGCGATTTTGTGAACAGGGACTCAGGAAAGTAGCCCTTGCAGAAGAGGGAACTGGGCATGCTGCTGGTGCAGAGAAGACCCAAGGCTTAAATAAATACTCACAGCTACCCCCTTCTTCCTCCTGCACCCTCCGCCAACACGAAAAGTGGGATAGGCCTCTTAACCATTCATACTCAGACAAAGAAAAACATTTATGAAGCACTTGCCATGTGCCACTCTGCACGTGCAGCGTCCCATCCCCATCTTCAGAGACCAGCATTCTTCTTTTGTGTGTGTGTGTGAGAGAGAGAGAGAGAGAGAGAGAGAGCAAGACAGGGTCTCACTCTGTTACCCAGGCTGGAGTGCAGTGGCGCGATCTTGGTTCACTGTAGCCTCAACCTCCCAGGCTCAAGTGATCCTCCCACCTCAGCCTCCTGAGTAGCTGGGACTGCAGGCACACATCATTACACCCAGTTATTTTTTAAAAATGTTTAGTAGAGATGGGGATCTCGATATATTGCTCAGGCTGGTCTTGAACTCCTGGGCTCAAGTGATCTGCCTGCCTCAGCCTCCCAAAACGGTGGGATTATTATAGGCGTGAGCCACTGCACCCAGCCAGGCATTCCTTTTCTTTTTTCTCTTGGAATGGAGTCCTGTCACCCAGGCTGGAGTGCGGTGGCGCGATCTCTGCTCACTGCAACCTCTGCCTCCCGGGTTCAAGCGATTCTCCTGTTTCAGCCTCCCAAGTAGCTGGGACTACAGGTGCATGCCACTATGCCTGGCTAATTTTTGTATTTTTAGTAGAGATGGGGTTTCATCATGTTGGCCGGCTGGTCTTGAAGTCCTGACCTCAGGTGATCTGCCCACCTTGGCCTCCCAAAGTGCTGGGATTACAGGGCATGAATCACCGCGCCCAGCCAGGTGTTCTTTTTTGTCATTTTATAGAGGAAGTCTCAGACGCTCAGGTTAATTTTAGCACAAGTTTACACCATGACATGGAGGAGCCACCTGCAACTCCAATCTGCGTGCAAGCAGGGCCGGGGCAGCGCGTTGCCTTGGCACGTTTTGATCACCCTTTGTTGTTTCCTGTGGGCAGGGGCTGTGCCTCAGTCTCTTATTTCTGGGCCCATTGGCCTGTCTATGAAAGGATGTCAACAGGATAATGCATGGGGTCCTTCCAGCCCTGGTATTCTAGAATTGTAGTTGGTGGCTTCTAGGACCTGGAAGGTGTTGCTTGAAACCAGTGCTGTTTAATCAGTGGGAGATTTTACACCACCCACTTCAAGCAATGTTTGAAGACATTTTGTTGTTGTTTTTGTTTCTTTGTTTGTTTGTTTTGAGACAAAGTTTTGCTTTGTGGCCCAGGCTGGAGTGCAGTGGCACAATCACTGCTCACTGCAGCCTCGAACTCCTGGGCTCAAGTGATCCTCCCATCTTAGTCACCTGAGTAGCTGGGACTACAGGCATGAGCCACCATGCCTGACTAATTTTTAATTTTTTTTTTTTTAGAGATGGGATCTTGCTGTGTTGCCCAGGCTGGTCTCCAATCCCTGATCTCAGGTGATCCTCCCACCTCAGCCTCCCAAGTAGCCGGGACTACAGGCCCATGCCACCACACCTGGCAAAAACCCATGCTGTTTAACCAGAGGGAGATTTTGCCCCCAGGGGATATTTGGCAATGTTCGAAGACATTTTTGATTGTCAAAAAATTTATGTGCAGGGGTGCTACTGGCATCTGGTGGGTAGAGGCCAAGGATGTTGTTCAACATCCCACAACACCCAGGACAACCAGCCCACAACAAAGAACTCACTGGCCTGAGTGTCAGAAGTGCTAAGGCTGAGAAACCCTGGGTTAAACTTTGTGACCCCTTGCATGGCAAGGATACGGAATTTTGAGCCCTGAGTATTCACGCAGCAGGTATTTAAAGGGTGCTTACTCTTCGCCCAGCTCTGTGTAGGTACTTGGGGAGTATACAGAACTGGAAGATGCTTCATCCCTTCCGGGGCTTAAAACTGAGTTGCTCCAAGCCTCTGGTTCTGGACACATTGTGCCTGAGCACCCTTAGATGTTGATGCTACCATCCCTCTTAGGATAAAATACCACTTTGGATTTCCAAAGAAAATATTTTATCCTCAACAGAGTAGCCACTATTTATTTATTTATTCCTACCTCATGCATAGAGCTACACTGAGTGTAGCTGGTTTATTTTCAAAAAGAAGTTGAGGAAATGCCACACATTAGACTCAAGGAAGAAAGTTAGAATCAGATGTGCAACTGTAAGCCAGCAACACAGTTGATGCAAGTAAGCTTCCTGGCAGCAAGGGCAAAAAGGGAAATAATCCTTCATGATAATATAAAGCATTGAAGGGACTGTATTACTGTCTCCTCAAAGGGTACAAAGTCTTGAATAAAATTTTAATGTAGGCTTCACACAGAAGATACTGCTTAGTATTTGGTAATGCGTACTATGTTCACCAGGCATATCAAAGGCAGGCATTTCTGGGTTTTGGATGGAATGATAAATTAGGAATGATATCTGTCTTCAGATGTCTGTTGGAGAAGATAAGCAATTATGCCACTACCTGTTAAACAGGGTTATAAATGTGAGGATAAAAGGAGTGTTACTATGTGAGTGAGGCAGGCAGAGAAGACTTACAGAATAAAACAATATGTTTTTATTTTTATCTTTTAATTTTTTTTTTTTTTGAGACAGGGTCTTGCTCTGTCACTCAGGCTGGAGTACACTGGTGTGATCACGGTTCACTGCAGCCTCAACCTCCCAGGCTCAAGTGATCCTCCCACCTCAGCCTCCGGAGTATCTGGGACTACAAGTGCACACCACCATGCCCGGCTAATTTTTTGTATTTTTGTAGAGACGGGGTTTTGCCATGTTGCTCAAAGTGGTCTTGAACTCCTAGACTCTAGCAATCTGCCCACCTTGGCCTCCCAAAGTGTTGGGGTTATAGACACATTTTAAAATACATATATATATTTTTCTAATTGCAAATTAATACACTGCATTACAGAAAATTAGAGCAATACAAATATGAAGGAGAAAATAAAAGCTCCATAACCTTTCTACCTGTAGACAACCACTGTTATCCTTTGATGTGTATCTATTTTCATGCACACATGCGCTTATATATTAATATATTTAATAGAAACAAAAATTGGAATCTCATTATATTTTACCATGTTGTAACCAAATATCCCTTAAAGGGCTTTGAAGGATGAGTTGGAGAGAAAGTGAGTTGCACGCCACTGCGGAGTTGGGCAGCCAGAGTCAATTTCCACCACGCATGCATGGATCATGGAGAGGGGTGAAATCCCACATTTCATTCTGCATCTCCAAGGGCCATCATTCACAGGGAGCTATGGAACCCAGCAGCCCTGGGGCCCCATTCTCTCTCTCTCCCTTTCTTCACCTAACAATGTAATGGGAATGGTTTTCCATGTTAAATAGTCTAGCATTTGATTTTTTGGTAACAGCTTTATTGAGATATAATTTACTTACAATTCACCCATTTGAAGTATACAAGTCAATGACTTTATTCACAGAGTTGTGCATCCATTACCACTATCAATTTTATTGATTGATTGATTGATTGATTGATTGAGATGGAGTTCCGCTCTTGTCAGCCAGGCTGGAGTGCAGTGGCACAATCTCAGCTCACTGCAACCTCCACCTCCCGGGTTTGGGTGATTCTCCTGCCTCAACCTCCCGAGTTGCTGGGACTACAGGCACATGCCACCATGCCCGGCTAATTTTTGTATTTTTAGTGGAGACAGGGTCTTTTTAGTAGAGTCTTTTGTGTCTGGCTTCCTTCACTTAAAATGATGTTTTCAAGGTTCAATCATGTTGTAGCATGGACCAGTACTCCATCCCTTTGTATGACCGAATAGTATTCCATTGTGTGGCTATACCACATTTTGTTAAAATACTCATCTGTTGATGGACATCTGGATTGTTTCCGCTTTTGGCTCTCATGAATAATGATTTTTTTCTGTTCTTTTCTTTATTTCTTTTTTTTTTTTTTTTTGAGACAGTCTCGCTCTATTGCCCAGGCTGGAGTGCAGTGGTGCGATCTTGGCTCACTGCCACCTCTGCCTCCCGGGTTCAAGTTATCTCCTGCCTCAGCCTCCCAAATAGTGGGATTACAGGCATGTGCCACCATGCCTGGCTAATTTTTGTATTTTTTTTTTTTTTAGTAAAGACAGGGTTTCGCCATGTTGGCCAGGCTGGTCTTGAACTCCTGACCTCAAGTGATCTGCCCGCCTTGGCCTCCCAAAGTGCTAGAATTACAAGCGTGAGCCACTACACCTGGCCAATAATGCTGCTTTAAAATTCATGTCCAAGTTTTTCGTGGACATGAATTATGTTTTTAGTTTTCTTGGGATATGAAAGAGTGGAATTGCTGGGTCAAATTTGATCAGTGTTTCCCCTTTTGAGGAACTACTAGACTGTTTGCCAAAGCAGCTATACCATTTTGCATTTCCACCCACAATGTACAAGGATTCCAATTTCTCATCACATCCTTGCCAACACTTGTCATTGTCTGCTTTTTAAAATTATAGCCATCCTAGTGGATGTAAAGTGGGGTCTATCGCAGGATGGTTTTGACTTGCACATCTCTGATGGCTGATGATGTTGAACATCTTTTCATGTGCTTATTGGCCATTTGTGTATCTTCTCTGGAGAGAGATGTATCTAAATCCTTTGCCCATTTTAAAATTAGCTTTTATGTCTTTTCATTTTTGAGTTGTTAGAATTCTTTATATATTCTAGATCAGATTTGCAAATATTTCCTCCCTTTCTGTGGTTGGTTTTTTTCACTTTTTTGATGGCGTTCTTGGAAGCATAGAAGTTTAATTTTGATGAAGTTCAATTTGTCTAATTTTTTTTTCTTTTTTTCTTTTTTTGAGACAGAGTCTCACTGGGTCACCCAGGCTGGAGTGCAGTGGTGTGGTCTCAGCTCACTGCAACCTCTGCCTCTGAGGTTCAAGAGATTCTCCTGCCTCAGCCTCCAGAGTAGCTGGGATTACAGGTGCATGCCACCATGCCCGGCTAATTTTTGTGTTTTTAGTAAAGATGGGGTTTTGCCATGTTGGCCAGGCTGGTTTTGAATCAGCCTCAAGTGATCTGCCTGCCTCAGCCTCTCAAAGCCCTGGGATTACAGGCATGAGCCACCGTGCTCAGACCACCACTTGGTTTTCTAATGACTGAAGATATTCCTTGGAATGGATGTGCCATAAGGGGATCATTGTTTGACCCTAATTTGCATCAAGTTCTTTGTTTTAACTCCCACCCCCATGTCTTTATTCTGGAGATTATCTGGAGTTCAAGCTCAAGCCAATTGCAAATTTCATCCGATCCTTGCAGCTGTTTTAAACACGTCATTGGTCGACCTTCCTCTGTTCCTCCCTCCCAAATGTGTTTAGTGGTGTTCGGACCTCTGCAAAGCAATAGATGAGGTTCCCAAGTCTCCAAGTAGCCAGCTTCAGGTGCCCTGTCCCTGACCTTTCATTGCCCGGGGTTGCACTAATGCAACATTGCAGGATCACGTCGCCATCTGCTGGCAAATGTGGGCAAATGCAATGCCAGGAACCCTACGATTTAGCCGTCTGTTGCTTCTCCAAGGCAGATTGGCAAGTCTATCATTCCTTTATTTATTTTTATTTTTTTATTTTTATTTTTTTGAGATGGAGTCTCACTTTTGTCGCCCAGGCTGGAGTGCAGTGGTGCGATCTCGGCTCACTGAAGCCTCCGCCTCCCAGCCATCGGCTGATTCTTTTCATTCTGGCCGACTCCTGTTGCTTTGTAAGGGCCTTCCCAACCTTTGGAGGTAGTGTCTAAATACTAAACCACTTATAAAACGGAATCTGTTTTCTACAAAGCAAGGAAGTTTATGTACTTCTTGTTCCACGGGCAACTCTTGGTGCCTGAAAAATGTCATCACCGAGTAGGAAGCAATAGGTTATTTCAGGCGAGGAAAGGACAATGGATACAAATAGTTTCTTGTGTCATAATGGTCATATTGTCAGCATTATATTTGTTAAGTCTCTGATTCTCCCGAAGCCAGAATTCTCTCTGGCGCATCATTATTCCTGCCTCTCCCAGGCCTCTGGGTCGATGCACTGTCCCTGCCTGCTGATGAGAAGAGGAGGCCCTGAAAAGACAAATGATTGACCTTTGATTGTTTTCTAGAACAGCAGCAACTTTGTATTTTTCAAGGAATGATAGGCCAGGTGCAGTGGCTCACACCTGTAATCCCAGCACTTTGAGGGGCCAAGGCGGGCGGATCACTTGGGGTCAGGAGTTGGAGACCAGCCTGGCCAACATGGGAAACCTTATGTCTACTAAAAATACAAAAATTAGCCAGGGCTGGTGGCATGCACATGTAATCCCA